>NC_000015.10:85077641-85229156 GCF_000001405.40 Homo sapiens
ATCCCAAGGAAAAACTAGGAGGGAAAAAAGCCTAGTAACAGACCCTCACACCCCTCAGAGATTAGTTATGAGATATGAATTATAAAGCAAGTATGCTTACTATAGGTAAAGAAATAAAAGATAAACCAGGAAATATCTGCAAGGAATAGGAAACTATTAAAAGTGGCATAGCAAATTTTATGAGGAACAAAACTGAATTGTAAGAAATGAAAACACAGTAATTGAACAATTTAAAACTTAGTAAGTCACATGTAGCACAGAAATACAATGACAGGAAATAAGTTAGACAGGTGAAGAAATGTGGAGGATAGTGTGTGAAGTTTTAGTTGTGTATATGTAACTGGAGTTCCAGGAGAAGAGGAAGGATAGAACAGAGGAAATATTTGAAGAGTTACTAGCTGAAAATTTTCCAGAACTGATGAAAAACTAATTCATAGATTCATGAATTCTGACATATCCAAAGTAGAGTAAATTTTAAAAGAGGACACATCCTAGTGAAACTGCAAAAAAAAAAAAAAAGAAAAGGACTTAAAATCAGCCACAGGTAAAAGATTACCTTCAAAAGACTGACACACACACTAACAGCTAGCTTCTCAGCAGCAACAAGTGGAAAACAAGACAGTGGAATAACATTTTCAATGCAATAAAAGAAAATAACTTCCTTGGGAGGCCGAGGTGGGCAGATCACGAGGTCAGGAGATTGAGACCATCCTGGCCAACATGGTGAAACCCTGTCTTGACTAAAAATACAAAAATTAGCTGGGCATGGTGGTGCACACCTGTAATCCCAGCTACTTGGGAGGCTGAGGCAGGAGAATCGCCTGAACCAGGGATTTGGAGGTAGGTTGCAGTGAGCCGAGATTGTGCCACTGCACTCCAGCCTGGCAACAGAGCGATACTCCATCTCAAAAAAAAAAAAAAAAAAAAAAGAAAGAAAAGAAAAGAACTTCCTAGAATTTTATACCTAGCATACATATCTTTCAACAATGAAGGTGAAATAAAGACTTTCAGAAATGTGGACATTGAGAGAATTTGTAACTAGCAGATCCTCACAAGGAAATGCTAAAGGATATACTTCAACCAGAAGGAATGTGAATTCCAGGTGGAAGGTCTGAAATGCAAGAGATGAGTAAAGAAAATGGTCTGTATAGGGTAAATATAAATACATATTTACTGTATGAAACAATAATAATGTCTAGTTTGATGAGAGGATACAGGGAGAAAGAGACTACAAACTAATCATATATCTAGCCAAGTTATTGTTTAACCTTTCTTTTGGGGATATACATAAAATTCAGAGATATAGTTCCCCAAGGAAAATAATTCAGAAAAGGACTCTAACCATATAAGAAATGAACTACAACAGAAATTTGAAGAGGAGAGGAGGGAAAAGTAGTGAGCTATAAACCCTGCCATGTGCATACTCCTTCATGGTGCCTCCTGCTTTCTCTGGCTCTCTGTCTTTCTTTATAGATGTACCCACACTTATGCATATATGTATAAGATTAGTCCCAAACAGATAAACATAGACTAGAATATATAATATTCTTTTAAAAGAAGGGACATACTCAAAGAGGAATTTTAATAATAGCTCACTTTTAAATTCTAGACTATCTTAGTCAACGCTAGGTGTTTGTAAGGTTTGTGGGGAGGATGCAGGCATTCTTACAGACTTATCTAAGAGGTAGAGTGAGAATGAGCCCAAGAAGTATTCATCTTTGTGGGAAATGTTCTATGTGGGAAATACTTTATTCTGGGGGTAATTGGTATCTTGTTTTCAAATAATAGTAAAGAAATCTATGTCTGCTTTTGAGATGATGAAAAGGAGGGTAACCGCTGATAGAACAGGAAACTTAAGTAAAACTTCCAAAATAACAAGAGGAAATAGGGAGTTTACAGCAACTTGATCAAATTGAGAAGCTGAAGAAAGATGAAACAACAGTGTAAAATCAGTGAGAAACACAAAGTCAGATAGAAAGAATAGAAGCAGGCTGGGCACGGTGGCTCACGCCTGTAATCCCAACACTTTGGGAGGCTGAGGCAGGTGGATCACCTGAGGTCAAGAGTTCCAGACCAGCCTGGCCAGCATGGCGAAACCCCGTCTCTACTAAAAATCCAAAAATTACCCGGGCATGGTGGCGCACACCTGTAATCCCAGCTACTCAGGAGGCTGAAGAAGGAGAATCCCTTGAACCCAGGAGGTGGAGGTTGCAGTGAGCTGAGATTGCACCACTGCACTCCAGCCTGCACAGTGGGAGCAAGACTCCATCTCAAAAAAAAAAAGAAAGAATAAAAGCAAATGTATATGAATGGGCTGAATTCTTCCTTTAAAAGATAGGCTGTTAGATTGGGTTGAAAAAGTACAATTCTATAACAGTTACAAGACACTTAACATGATAAAAGGAGCTTAAGTAAAAGAACATAGAGGTAGCAAGTAAATGCAGACAAAAAGAACACAGATATTGATATTGATATTAATATCAGATGAGGTGGAATTTAAGATTTTAGTTTATATGTAAATACAGTTTTATATAAAAAGCACACATTAGGTTATTGATTATATAGCTGTGGCTTTCTTGTGTTTCCCCCTTTTTGGACAACCCCCACAACATACATACACATCAGCACCTACCTCCATTCCCTGACCTCTAGTAATTCCTGTTAAATTGTATGAGAACAGTTTACTTAGCCAGCAGTAAGGCGTCCCAGGTTGGAAGTCAGAAGTCCCCTATGGATCTTTATGTCATCCCTCCCTAAGCTGCTTGCTTTTGCAACTAAGGCCGCAAAACTGGCTATTCCTTTTAACAAGAACCTTAGAAGCTTCCACTTTCTAGTGAAACTTAGGGGATAGATTATTCCCTCTGCCTTGGGTTATTTGCTTACCTACAGCCGCATGAGGTCATTAAGGCTTGTGTTTGTTTGAGGTCTCTTTGAAAGTACATAGATGCACTGTTGGAAATTTGTGCCTGGTGACTGCCGTGTTTGAAATTCTGCCCAAGAAGTCTATCAGCATAGTTCTGTGGACCAGAAAGAGCATCCTGGTAGAAGGTCAAGTAAATCATGGTCCTTATATTTTCTTAGTATTACTGTGTTATCATGGAGCTAACTTGAAAAGTAACTGACACACACACTCTTGCTGCCTCAAGCCTGCACACCTTAATCAAAATCAAGGAACCCCCTGAAGACTTCAATGGAACCACTTTTAGGTGCACGCCCCTGTGAGGACACGTCCATGCAAAAAGCCCAAAAAGCTTTACAGTAGTCACTTTAGAAGCACCTGACTTAGGAAATGTAGAGGTAGTGGCAGGCTCTCCATTTTGTAGGTGAGGAATTCATGCGGTCAACCAGTCCTCAGAGACCACTAACTAATTAGTGCTAACTAATCTCATCCAGAGTCTCTTACTTTTGTGTGACAAAAGGATGCTCAGGTTACTGAGAAGAAGAGTTAGACCTGGAGGAAGGGGATTCTCCCAGTCATGGCTGTAGGCGGTGGTGCCAAGGCTTGAATCTGAAAGCTAACACCATAATGATATCTCTGGTACAGGGGATGGGGCATAGGAAAGGCCATGAGCTATTTTGTGTTTTAGCCATGTTTCAGGATTGAAAAGTAGGTGGAGGACCTGCTAGCTTCCTCAATTGGATTTGGCCATTGAGTCGGTAGACTCACTGCTGGGTGCACATTAGAATCACCTGAATAACATCCCTAGGGAGTCTGTTTCAGTTGGTCTGGGGAGGGGCCTGCATGCTGGTGTTTTTTCAAATTGCAGATAATTCTAATATGCAGCTGAGAGTTGAGAACCACTGGGAGAGGCCTAGCAAAGATGGGCTCAGGTCCTAGCCGTGGGTGTGATATGCTTTGGAGAAAGTGAGGTTAAGTTAGCTTAGAAGTCTAGGATTTGTAGTCCCAGCCCCTTTCGTGGAAGAAGGTTAAGGGAGAGGAGACTAACCGCTGTTTAAGCAGAGGGAATAAGCTTGCTTTCTGAGGATCCCTGGACCTGATTCTTCACCCTCCATGCCCTGTGGGATCCTTGGGACAGAAACAAAAGTTGGCAAGGGGCAGGAAAGATGAGATGTTTAGATAAAGAGAACAGTGTTTAAACACGCATAGCAAAACAAAAGTTTTGAGGGAGGGGGCAAACAGGAGCAAGATGCTGTACATTTGGTCACATGCTAGTTTTTTTTACCTTGATTTCTGCCTTTGGGGTAAAAAAGTTTGGTGGATACATAACATTCAGACCAATTAAAAAGTCTGATTGCATGCATGGGAATCCATTTGTGGAAATGGATAAATACACATTCCCTCCACAGCCCTCACATCCCCTCCACAGCCCTCACATCCCAGAATCTTACCTGCGGAGGAACTGAGGACCCCTGTCTATCTCAAGGCCCCGATTCCATGTCTCCTGGAGTGGCACAAGCACTATGTCAAGAAATCTCTTTTCCCTGTCCCTGCCCAATCAGAAGTGGGTTCCTGTCCAGTGTTTTTGGGTGTTCCCATGGGGTCTTGGCTGATGGAGGTGTGGACAGCAGGTCTAGCATACTCCTCCCTTCTCAGTCGGTGGGAGCTGGCAGGCATGTCACCTCTGTCAGACCTCTGGGTAAGAAAGGGGCTCTGTTTTGGCCTATAGGTATAAGGTTTATCATGCTCCTGGTCAACAGGTCTTGCCTTCCCCTGTGGGGGTGACAGTAGCTGTTCTTTACATTTATGCAGCAGTTTGTACTTAAAATGCTTTCTCCCATCATGTCTTTTTATTCTCGGTGACCTTCATTGGGTAGGAACAGTATTATTTTTCTTGCTTTACAGTTGAGGAAACAGGCTCAGGAATGTTAGGTGCCTCATATACAATCATACAGCTTTTAAGGCACGAACCAAGGGCTAGATTTTTAGGTTGCTTGACACCCAGACAAGACCCTGATCACAGTTCAGACGGGTCATTTGCGTTCACCGTGGTAGTAGAAGGAACTCTTTAAGGGGACCCCTGTCCCAGATTGGTCTGGCTGGGGCTTATAGATAGTGATATGCAGAGGCTCTGCCTCTTAGGCATCAGCTTCCTCTTCAGCCAGGTAGAGTATTGTCCACTTATTGTGCAGGTAAAAAGCAAGGAGCTCTTTAGAAATGGGGGAGTAATGTTCACAAATATTTTTACATTTGAATAGAACTATATGACAGAACACAGTGGCTGCTAAGATGTCTTTATGGAGTATTTAATTTGATGGTGGAATGGGTCCATCTTCTCAGAACTATGTAATTCACTTTGTCGTGAGATATTTCCACTATGTAAAGGTTATACAAAATACTTAATGTCCACGGCTATAAGAGACACTGGGCAAATCCATCCATGGCTTCTGCCAGTGCCTCTGCTGTGGAAGATAATCCTCTGTCGGCTTCACTGAGCCACTGTTGGAGGTTAGTTCAGGAAAATGTTGCCCATGTTGGGGTTCCCCCTGTGAAATACAGGCGCAAATAGAAATGCAAGTATATTTTCGCTTATTGTAAACTTACATGACTTTAAAGCGGACCAAATACTGTTGTTGAATATACTCTGAAAGCCTAATATAAGTAGGACTTTAGTTAATGAATTTCCTCCTCCACATGTTCTAGCCTTGCTTTGTCAGTGACATGAAAACAACCAAAATGCTCTTAACGGAAGATGCTGAAAGAAAAGCCTTTTTTTTTTTTAAAAAAATGAAAGGCTACTAAATGATAGAAGGAAAAGCATTCTTAAACCCTATTTTTTAAAAAGCTAATCTGGTGCCCATAAAGTTTCTCTCTTACCTTCTGTTCATCATTAATGATAAAGTATTTTTTAGATTTCAGTTGCCAAGTTGAGAAGTTTGTTTAAAGAGTTATTTTTATTGGCACAAATAAAGAAGCACTTTTGTTTATCCACAAAATTCCTCTTTCTGTTTGTAGAGGTATGTAGAAAACCCCAACATCATGGCCTGCTACAATGAACTGCTCCAGCTGGAGTTTGGAGAGGTGCGATCACAACTGAAACTCAGGTAATTCTACCACTTCTGGAAAGCCCTCCAGGCCATACAGGGCAGCATGGCAAGTGAGAACTTTGGTTGTGGGGAATACTTTTGAAATGGCCTCTTGCAGAAATGGGATTGGAGAGAATGGAGTGGCAACTCCCCTCGTACAGACTTTCTGGAGTCTGCCTGGATGTCTAATAAGGGGTCATTTTAGTGATTAGAGACTCACATTTAAAGATGGAGCCCCCAAATAATAGTAAGTTTAAAAAGCAGAATACAAACTGCATATGCTGGATTATCTGTTTTGTTTTCTAAGGGGACAAAAACGGTTTTAATATACACCCCCCCAATCTATTAACATTAGTTATCTCTGGTAGGTGACATTTTTTTCTTCTCTACAATAAGCATTTTATCTGCTCTTGATAAACAGGGTTTTTTGGTTTTTTTTTTTAAGTGACATGAGTAGAGGCCTCATTCTTTGTAGAGTAAGAAAAGCAGAAAAATTAATATAATTTTATCAGCTTGACAAAAGAAAAATAAAGTCAGCAGCTTCCTATCATTTTAGGTTTCTTCCTTGGGTGTTCAACTATTCTTTAACATTTCCTTTACTAGGGATCAAAGAGAGAATTGGATCATTTCATTTGTATGTGCCCAAGACAGTCAAAGGGGATCGGAATGAGAGTACCAAGATTAATAAGGACCAGTACAGGGTTCCACGTGTAGGGAAGATAGGTACTTTATAGACAAAATGAAATGAATGATTAGCGGGCAGAGTGTGAGTTAGCAGAGAAGTGCTGCTGAGCAGAGGTGTTTGAAGGCTGGTGTGGTATACAAAAGAGATTTTTACGCTGCTAGATTTTGCAAGGAAACTTAAGGTAGATGGTTGCCCTTGGGCCTGCTTTTTTCCCACTCCTGGGTCATCTCAGCCTGGCTGCAGCACTCCCACAGTGAATTAGGCTACTACCCTCTCTCAGAGGAGAGTAGAATTTTGGAGCAGTAGGTGATGTTGGAGCTTATTTTATCCAATCAAGAATCAGAAACTGAGACCCAAGGAAGTTAACTGACTTACACCCAAGATCTTGTAAGCAGCAAATGGCAAAAATAGTGCTTTAAACTGAAATCTGCATTTTCGAAACTGCATTCATTCTTTCTTCCATCTCTAAATCTGACTGTAACCTCAAACCTTTTCCTCCTGTGTACCTTAGCTGTCATCTACCTTGTGGTCCTAAACTAAAACCCCTGTCTCTTCTACATACGTCCCTAAATCCAGTCACTGACCAAGTCCAATTGATCTTACTAATTTTTGGAATCTGTCCACTTAATCTTCATCTCTACTGCTACTCTTAGTCTAGGTCCCTCTCTTTTTACCTGGATTATTGAAACCACCAGTTAGTCTCCCTATGTCTAGTCTTGACTCCTTCTTCATTCTCCACACAGACGTAACACAATTCCATTTGTGTTCCTGTTCTATGACACCCCAGATAGGCACCCACTGCGTTCAAGATGAAGTCCAAACTCCAAAATGTAGCCTACAAGGGTCTCCATGGTCTGTACACTGCTTACCTCTCTGTCCTCATCTCCCATCATGCCCTGCTTTGTTCTCTGTGCTCCAGCTGGCAGCCAAATTATGATGTCCATTATACAGGGAGATATAAAAATATAAAGGGAAAGGAAATGTGAGGCTAGAGAATTGGGAGAAATAGAGTCTTGTTCTTTCAGATACTAAAATGCACTAAAAAGCTGTAACAAGCAGGGGTGTTACTGCTAGATTGGTAAACTAGAATATAAAAACCAGAAACAGGCCGGGCACGGTGGCTCATGCCTGTAATCCCACCACTTTGGGAGACTGAGGCGGGCGGATCACAAGGTCAGGAGTTCGAGACAAGCCTGGCCAACATGGCGAAACCCTGTCTCTATTAAAAATACTAAAATTAGCCGGGCATGGTGGTGAGCACCTGTAATCCCAGCTACTCAGGAGGCTGAGACAGGAGAGGTTGCAGTGAGCTGAGATCGTGCCATTGCACTCCAGCCTGGGCAACAAGAGCAAGACTCTGTCTCAAAAAAAAAAAAAACAGACTTGGATATATTTAAGAATTTAGTAGATGATCGGCTGGGCAGGGTGGCTCACGCCTGTAATCTCTGCACTTTGGGAGGCTGAGGTTGGTGGATCACCTGAGGTCAGGAGTTCGAGACCAGCCTGGCCAACATGATGAAACCCCGTCTCTACTAAAAAAAATACAAAAAATTAGCTGGGCGTGGTGGCGCATGCCTGTCATCCCAGCTACTTGGGAGGCTGAGGCAGGATAATCACTGGAACCCGGGAGGCGAAGGTTGCAGTGAGCTGAGATCGAGCCACTGCACTCCAGCCTGGGCAACAAGAGCAAAACTCCATCTCAAAAAGTAAAAAAAAAAAAAAAAGAATTTAGCATATGATTACATGGCATTTTAAATCAACACGGGAAAAAGTGGACTTTTCAGTGACTAGAGTTGTGATAGTTGGTTGACTAGCTGGAAAGAAAGTTAAGCTACGTTCCAATCTCATGTCCTACCCGCAAAATGAACTCCAATGAATTAAAGACTTAAATGTGAAAAAGTAGGGCTACGTAAGTACTAAAAAATAAAAGTGGACATACATAATTGGATGACGAAGTCATTATAAACTAACACTTATAAAAGCCACATTTTATAAAGGAAGATAATCAGATTAGACAACATAAAAATGTTAAGCTTATCTACAGTTAAAATAAACCTTAAATAATGTTCAAAATTTAGACAAATGACTAACTGGGAAAAATATGTTTGTAACATATAGGACAGACATTAGGTTAATATCCTCATAAATACATGAAGAGCTTTGATTAATCAATTGAAAAATGATCAATTAAAAATTAGAAAAATATTAAAAGACATGTTCAAGTGGTTCACAAGAGATATTAATGGCCAATAAATGTGAAAAGATGTTCAACCTCACTAATAAAGACATGCAAATGATTTAACATTTTTTTATTTACCGTATCTGCGAAAGTTAAAAAAAAGTATGATAAAACCCAGTAGGGCTTCTCACAGATCCATCTCCGCCAAGCTTGTTATATTGGAGGTGAGAACTTCTTACTGTTTTTTGCTTTTTTTATTTTTTATTTTTTTATTTTTTGAGATAGAGTCTCACTCCGTTGCCCAGGCTGGAGTGCAGTGGCATGATCTCTGCTCACTGCAACCTTCACCTCCCAGGTTCAAGCGATTCTCCTGCCTCAGCCTCCCAAGTAGCTGGTATTACAGAGGTATGTGCCACCAGGTCTGGCTAATTTTTTGTTGTTATTGTATTTTTTAGTAGATACGGGGTTTCACCATTTTGGTCAGGCCGGTCTCAAACTCTGACTAGTGCTAGGATTACAGGTGTGAGCCACCATGCCCAGCATGTTTTTTGCTTTTTTTTTTTTTTTTAATAACAACTTTATTGAGCTATAAATTTACATATTATCTCCTGGTTTTTTTTACATGCTAAAAATGAGCTAATTTTTATTGGCTAAGCTATTGTCTTTAGTGAGACAGTTTAGTAATACCAGCAATAATGTAAAGGCATTGTTTTTTTTATTTACTTATTTAGAGACAGGGTCTCACTCTGTTGCCTGGGCTGGAGTGCAGTTGTGTGATCACTGCTCACTGCATCCTTGACCTCTTGGGCTCAAGCAGTCCTCCCACCTCAGCTTCTCAAGTAGCTAGGACTACAGATGTATACCACCAGGCCAGCTAATTTTTTATTTTTTGTAGAGACAGGGTTTTGCCATGTTGCCCAGCTGGTCTTGAACACCTGGACTCAAGCGATCTGCCTACTTCTGCCTCCCAGAGTGCTGGCATTACAGGTGTGATCCACCGTGCCTGGCCAGCATTGTTATTTTTAGAGTTTACTTAGTAGTATCTCTGCACTTTATAAGCAGGCAGTTTTCTTTTTTTTCATCTTCTGAGGCCAGAGAATCTTAAAATCATTCTTTGGGAGATTACTTATACAAGGAAAAAACCTGGAAGCAACCTAAATGTCTAGTGATAGGGGATTTATTGAATAAATCATAATATAATCTTAGAATATTATATAGTTATTTAAAGTGATGATAAAGAATGAAAATTATTGATATGGAAAGATTAATGTATAGTGTGCCAGTGAGAAAAGCAGATTATAAAACTGTAGAGTATGATCTTGTTTTTGTATGCATATTACATATGCATTTGTACAAGTTAATGCCTAGAACATTTTTCAATGCTTATTGAAAATAATTAGATTTTTTTCTATAAAATAGAATGTTGAGACGTCTGGGTATTGGGATTTCAGGTTATTTGATCTTATTATTTTTAAACAGCCTTATTAAGGTATAGTCAAAGGATTTTAGTATATTCATAGAGTTGTGCTTCAGTCATCACAATTTTAGAACATTTTTATTATCCCCAGCCCAGGCTGTAGTGCAGTGATGCAATCTCGGCTCACTGCAACCTCTGCTTCCTGGGTTCAAGAGATTCTCCTGCCTCAGGTTCCTGAAGTAGCTGGGATTACAGGCGCCTGCCACCATGCCTTGCTAATCTTTTTTTTGTATTTTTAGTAGAGACGGGGTTTCACCACGTTGGCCAGGCTGGTCTTGAACTGCTGACCTCAGGTGATCCACCCGCCTCAGCCTCCCAAAGTGTTGGGATTAGGGGCATGAGCCACTACCCCCAGCCCAATCTACTTTCTGTCTCTGCAGATTTGCGTATTCTGGACATTTCATACACTGTGTGATCCTTGTGACTGGCTTACGGTTTTCAAGGTTCATTCATGTTAGGGCATATATCAAGACTTCGTGTCCTTTTATGTCTGCATAATATTCCATTGTATGGATATACCACATTTTGTTTATCCATTCATCAGTTGATGGACATTTGGGTTTTTTCCATTTTTTGGCTTTTCTGAGTAATACTGCTATGAACATTTGCGTATAAGTTTTTGTGTGGACATAATGGGGCTGTTTCCCAAAAAGGGGCTGCACTTTTTTACATTCCCACCAGCAGTGTAGGAGGGTTCCTCACTAATACATGTTATCGACTGTCTTTTTTATTATTCAAGTGGGTGTGATATAGTGTTCCACTTATTTTTGTTAATGTTTATTTTCTAATTTTTTTCAATAAACATTGTCACTTGTATAATTTTAAAAATGTTTTCAAACACGAAGGATGTGAGAAAATGCTCACAGAAGAAGGCTAAGTGAAGAAAGCAGGAAGCAAAGCTAGTCTTTCCAGATGCCCTCAATTTTGTGAAAATAATTTGTTTAAAATAATAGGTAGAAATGATTGCCTTCTCTTTGCCAGGCTCTGTGCAGTATTCTTGACTCTATTCTCTTATTTAGTCTTCATGAAGACTCTAAGGTGGTGAAAGGGAAGGCTTGATGGGGTTCAGTCACTTGCCCAGGGTCCCACAGCTGCTGAAGAGCTGTGATTTGACCGTGGTATGTGGCCACCCTGGCTCACTGGCCCAATGTGTCTTTCCTTCATATTGGAAGGAAAGATACCGCAGTGTGTACATAGTGGTGATTCCAGTGGAGGGGCTTGCAGGGGGGTGTTTATTTCTTTTTATGTTTTAAAATATTTTCTCCCTTCCTTATAAATCGGACAAAAAATACATTTAAATAATGTAATAACCCAAGATTTTATTTTGTAGTATTTACATTAATCATTCCTTTTTTTGTTTACTCATAAAGGGCTTGTAACTCAGTATTCACTGCATTAGAAAACAGTGAAGATGCAATTGAAATTACAAGCGAAGACCGTTTTATACAGGTTTGTTATTTTGGAAATCTGTCTTTCTGGATTTCTTGTTTTGCTTTTTCCAACTTTTAGGATTGAACCTCTCCAATATGATTTTTTTTTTTCTTTTTGAAGTTTAGGAGACCAGTTTTTCCTTCGAGGATTATCAGAACAAAATCAAATATGTAATTTAAAATAAGCTCTCTATAGATTAGAAAACATACTAATAATTAAGGTGCTAGAAAATGCCTGTAGAAATGCCACATTTGCATTCATTATTTCCACTAGTTTGTTTATTTAACAAGGAGAGACTCACTGAAAAGGATGATTGCTGGGGGCTTGGGGGTAGTGCTGTTGTACGAAGGGGAATGCCCTGACCATAGGTCTGCAAGTACAAGTCTTTCACCTTTCTCACTGTTTTTGAAGATAATTTGCACTTACAGAAATATACTAGAAACAACTAAAAGTTTCAGAAATAACATACCTAGTAAGTGCTGAATAAATTACACATTATTAGCAAAGTGGGTTTATATGAGTGACTTAAGGCAACATAGCTTAATGTTTTCAGATAACAGCAAAAAAGGGAGTTGCACCAGAAAAAGACATTCATTTTGTCTGAGAATTAGCTCCACTTTGGAGCTCTCCAGTCTTTCTTACTTCTGGGCTCTCCAGTCTTTCACTTTAATATGACTTGTGACTTCCTTGTTGAAGAGGTGATGGTGTTGACTTTGAGTTGGTGCCCTGAGAGGCAGCGTGGGCCAGTGTTTGAGGGCACAGGCTTTGGTGTCAGACGGGCCTGGGCTCCATCCTGCTTCAGCTGAACAACTTTGGGCAAGTTGTTTAATCCAGCTGAATCTGCTTTCTCATCTGTGGAAATGGAAATAATATTAGTAAGAACAACAGCCTGCCTTTTGTAAGGATGTCATGAGGACTAAATGAATTAATGTATGTGAAGTGTTTACTATAGTGCCCAGTGAGGAAAATGGACCCTGACAGATAGTATCAATTATTGTTTTATCATCATCATCATTAGCACGTGCACAGTTTTCCCATGTATTTTCTGCTTATCTTACAGTCATATCTGAAACTTAACCATAAAGCCTTACATTTGTAATTACTTCTTAGTTCATAGCCTGCTTTCCATACACATCATTTATTCGAACCATATGAAAGAGACAAGAGAACTGTTTCATTCCCATATCCGGATAAGAGTCTCAGAGGGATTAAGTGACTTGCTGAGGTCAATGTGTGGAGGGGGAGGACAGCCTGAGTGTTTTGCACTCTACCTGGTGCTTTATTCCATCATCCCCCCACCCCCACCCCCATCTAAACAGCCCTGTTGTAGCAGCTCCTGGTTTGGCGCTGTGCACATCCCTTCCTCTGCCCCTGTTGAAGTGGGAGTGGGCCTGCTGCCCTCCTGGAGCCTCAGGAGAACATAGCAGAAAGCCCAGCCGGGTATCACCCAAGCAGAAGCTCGTCTGGGCTCCAGAATTCTTCGTGGGTTATGTGCTTATGGCTTCACAACTGCCACGGTGAGGTCCAGGCTCCTGAGCTTTTTCTGGGGAAAAACCTGAAGGGCTTAGGTCGAAGACCTTTGATTGTCCTCTTTTTCAAAATGACTTTTAATTCACTTTATGTTTTTTCTTTTGTCTCCCTTCAGTATGCAAATCCTGCATTTGAAACAACAATGGGCTATCAGTCAGGTGAATTAATAGGGAAGGAGTTAGGAGAAGTGCCTATAAATGAAAAAAAGGCTGACTTGCTCGATACTATAAATTCATGCATCAGGATAGGCAAGGTAAGTAAGAGGTCAGTGCCTTTTTTAACTTTCACAACACAGAGAGAAGGAAGACTTAGTGTTCATTGAGTACTACCAGGTAATCTTAATCTTACTCCTCCCAGCAGCCCAGGGAAGTATAGGGAATGTTATCCCTGTTATATCCATTTTGCAGGTGAGGAAACTGGGGCCAAGAAAATATATAATATGATTAGCCAATAAGCAAAGTAACTTGAATTGACACTTAACAATCATTGTTTTTATCTTTGTAGTAAGTTAATAACTTGATATTTCTAATAATTGGTCTTCTTAGTTGTAGATGTTGGCAAATGGTTCTGGGTAAAGAATTGCCAGTAAGGCAACACATTCTCAGAAAACATCTGAGCCCAAGATTTCTCCAAGCCTCGTTAATTCATTGAGCATTTTAAAAATGCCTTCTGTTAGCCAGACACTGTGCTAGATTCTGGTATGGAAAGAAGAGCAAAACAAAAATTCCTGCCTTAGAGAGCTCATATTCAGGGGTTGGAAACAGACAAATAAAAGTAACTATTATTCAATAATGTAAGAAGTCACATAATCATGGTGCTGAAGGAACAGGCAGAAGAAAGGCAGGCTCAGTCTGAAAGGTTATTTCTGTGAACCACAGCCTCTGATAGTGCCTCACTGTGACAGATTTTAAAATATGATGAGAAGGAAAAGGCTACTGCTTTTCACAATCATTCATGGTCCTTTCTGCTGGACTTTTTTTTTTTTTTTTTTTTGCTTTTGGAAGTTGGGTAGAGACTATTAATCTGATTATTTCAAACATTTGAAAAATTGGTGACTTGTGCAGCCTGCTCTGTGGAGGCACTGATGGAAGTGATACTGTCTCCCCTATGGCATTTGGCTAGTTCCTATCTTGTAGCACAAAACAGCAGCTTACCACAGGGGCAGGGTGCTGTGCAAAGCTTATACTCCGCTCATCTTGGACCCCATGAAGACACCATGAATGGGCCTGTTTTTCTTGCCTTTCCTATGCCTCTGAGCACACAACATTGCCTTGAAGTGAGAACAAGGAAATAATAGGCCAGCTGCAGGGGCCCAGTGAAGCCCTGCCAGGGGAATGACAAAAGTAGGCACTGCTCTATTTTGCCTTCAACTTTTCTGTCAAGGATTTTTTTTGTTGTTGTTTTTTTTTGTTTTGTTTCGTTTTTTTACTAGAGGGAGTGGAAGGTCCTCTAGAAAGAGAGGTATGAAGGCTGAGATGGATGAAGAGACCCTCAGGTGCTCAGGTGCACCATGTAGGTGAGGGCAAGTATTCCTTTCCATGGTTGAGAAGAGCATACTCAGAAGGAGGCCACAGAGCAGCAGTCATCCGAGACCACAGCAGCCATGGTGGGGGTGTTACCATGACCACCTCAATCCTGGCATTTAGGTTCCTTGCTGCTACTGGATGAGCCAGTGGTTTTGTTGTGAGGTTCAACTGGGTATGAACCAGGATGGGCCTTGTACACCTTGATGTGGCAGAACTTCCACTGAGGCATTCCATGTCCCTCTCACTGAGGAGGCAAGTAGAGGTAAGGAAGGGATGTGCTATAAGTGCTGGGCTCCATCCAGTTCTGTGTGAACTGTGTCTCACCTTTGCTGGGGTTGTGCTCTTGGGCACCAGGTAACAAAAGCCCTCAAACTTGAATAGCAAGAGACCTGCTCTCTAAAATTATACTTATTGTGAGCAAGGAATAGGAAACATCATCAAATTATTGACCCCTATACTGCTTTCCTTTTTTTTTTTTTTTTCTTGAGACAGGGTCTCATTCTGTCACCCAAGCCGGAATGCAGAGGTGCAACAGCCTTGACCTCCTGGGCTCAGGCAGTCCTCCCACCTCAGCCTCCTGAGTTGCTGGGACCACGGGCACATGCCGTCATGCCTAATTTTTTAATTATTTGTAGAGACGGGTTCTCTGTATGTTGTCCAGGTTGGTCTCGAACTCCTGGGCTCAAGCAGTCCGATAATCGGCCACCCAAAGTTTTGGGATTACAGGTGTGAGCCACTGCAGCTGGCCTGTACTGCTTTATTTCTAAAAAGAGCCTGGGTATTTGTTTCGTTTTTCACAGTTTTTGGGGAGCATGGAAAAGCAACCTTTGTCCTTTGTCAGGAACCTGCTGGTCTATGGGCAACATGGCAGCAGGGCAGGCCGCTGAGCTGGCCTGTGTTTTGAGGTGAAAGAATCCATAATTCCATCTCCGGGGAACAGGGCTTGTTGAGGGGTCAGCAGGCCTTATGGAACAGTGGCACTGTGATCAGGAAGGGGAATTCAGGCATCTGCTGGAGACCAGCATTGCAGAATGGAGACTTAGGAAATGGCCAGATGGCTAGGAGTTGGGACCTTGGAGTGTCAGATGCTAGGTGTTGGATATTGAAGTTTGACCTTGGGGCAGAAGAGAAATTTTGCTGATGTTCAAGCAGGGAATATTATAAACATTTTCCATCTCCACAAACCCTGCTGCCCATTGTTGTCAGTGGCTCCTCTTTTGGGTAAAAATAACAGGTATGTTGATTTCCAGCCCCCGCACTTAGGCTTCTTTGCATCCTATATGTATATCCACCTGACTCTTCTCTTTTTTCTTCTTCCCCAAGACTTGTCTATCAGGGCTTTAGAACCCATAGTCTCCCATCTTCTCAGATACCTAAACTTTATATTGTCAATTCTCTTTTAGAGATCTTTTTTTTTTTTCTTGAGACATGGACTTGATCTGTCACCCAGGCTGGAGTGCGGTGGCACGATCTTGGCTCACTGCAGCCTTGATCTCCCAGGCTCAAGCGATTTTCCCACTTCAGCCTCCCAAGTAGCTGGGACCACACGTGTCTACCATCACACCTGGCTAATTTTTTAAGCATATTTTTTAGAAATGGGGTCTCACTGTGTTGCCCAGGCTGGTCTCAAACTCCTAGGCTCAAGCAGTCCTACTCCCTCAGCTTCCCAAAGTACTGGGATTACAGGCGTGAGCCACCATGCTTGGCCTCTTTTAAAAATCTTGATTTTTTTTTTCCCTCCCTCAGAAACTGTGTGTTCTTCTTTTGTCATTTAATGGGTACCAAGTAAATGGTGGCTACTTAGATGCCTAAGATGATGATGTGCAGCTGCAGAAATCTTCAGCATTTCAAAACTTTTACCTTCATTAGCTCCTGTGCCTTTGCTTTCCTCTCACTGTCTCCCCTTTTCCTACTCTTCTTCCATTTCCTCCCAGATTTACCAGAACTCTGGCCTTTGCCCCCTACTGTTGTCCCTCAGAATGTTCCTTTGTTGTTGAAGTATCTTTTCTGCTCTGTGTAGAAATCTCACACTTCTCTGGTTTTAGTGTCAGCCTCTTTTCCAAGGTCTGGTTCAGCATCCTACTATCATCTTAATTGTCTAGCAATGGTTTTCTCTCATCTCCCAAAAACCCAATCTCTCTTCCAAATCCTGCTGTCTCTGCTCATGGACCTACCTCACAGTTGCTTTGACTTAGATTCCTGAAATGGTTTTGATCCCTTCCTCCCCGTTGGTCCCCTCCATCAAATCCACAAGCATTGATGGCTGTTAAACCCCTGTTTTGAGGGTCCATTGCCTGGGCCTGACCTTGCTCAGGGCCTTCTTCCCACACTCTGGAGTTACAGTGTGTAACTCTGTCTCCTTGTCCGGAATCCTCCATCTCCACTCGGTCCACCATACACTACTGCCTGATTAGTCTTACTGAGTCATCATTTTGTCATGTTGCTTCCTCAGCATAGAGCTCATAGTCCTCAGCTTGGCTGCCAGGATTCTATAGTTGAACCTCAGCCTACCTTTCCCATTCAGTAACAAAAGCCCCAAGTGTTCTTTGACAGTTTATCATGTGCACACACTGTGCCCACCCTGGGGATAGGATGGCTGGATGATGATGATTTAATTCTCAAGACAGCGGGTGCCAAGAGGGACTGCATCAATAGCTTGGTGCATAGCTTGTAGCAGACAGAAGGGAGGTAATAGTCTTACTCCTGTTCTGAGGGGAGCTTGGCCTGGAGAAAGAGGCCTATGCAAACCACCTGCACCCAAACCAGCTCATTTACTGAATGTTTACTGTTATGTCAGGACTTTGCTAAGAGTTTATGTGAATTACCCAACCTAATCTTCATGGTAGTACTCTAAGGTTGTACTATTATTATTCTCAGGAACTAAATATATATATATTTTTTTTCCTCAAGACAGAGTCTCACTCTGTTGCCCAGGCTGGAGTGCAGTGGGGTGATATCGGCTCACTGCAACCTCTGCCTCTCGGGTTGAAGCAATTCTCCTGCCCCAGCCTCCTGAGTAGCTGGGATTACAGGCGCCTACCAGCACGCCTGGCTAATTTTTGTACTTTTAGCAGATACGAGGTTTCACCATGTTGGCCAGGCTGGTCTCTCAAACTCCTGACCTCGTGATCTGCCTGCCTCGGCCTCCAGAAGTGCTGGGATTACAGGCGTGAGCCACTGTGCCCAGCTGGAACTAAATCTTATATGATATTTATGTAAGTAAATATTTTTTGTTTCCTCTGGTGACTGGAAAACTTATTGACTCTGTTACCCTAGCCAAGCCATTGCCTAAATTGTCCTGCTCCTTTAGATGGACTGTGGAACTTTGCCTGGAATGGCCTGTTAGCCTTGACTTGGGATCGCTCAGTCACCCAAGTCTATTCAGAAAGGACAAGAAGATCCTGAATATATATATATATATTTTTTTTATATATATATTTTTTGTTTTTGTTTTTGTTTTTTGAGACGGAGTCTCGCTCTGTCACCAGGCTGCTCACTGCAACCTCTGCCTCCTAGGTTCAAGCGATTCTCCTGCCTCAGCCTCCCGAGTAGCTGGGACTACAGGCACATGCCACTACACCCAGCTAATTTTTTGTATTTTTAGTAGAGACAGGGTTTCACCACGTTGGCCAGGGTGGTCTCAATCTCTTGACCTCGTGATCCACTCGCCTCAGCCTCCCAAAGTGCTGGGATCACAGGCGTGAGCCACTGTGCCTGGCCTGAATATATTTTTTTAAATGCTGACTGATTGAATTGGTCCCTGTAATTTTTTTCTCTCTCTTTTTTTAATGTAACAGTTTTATTGAGATGTAATTTCTATGCCATACAAGTCACCCATTGAAAGTATACTATTTGATAGCTGGGCATGGTGGTATGTGCCTGTGGTCCCAGCTACTTGGGAGGCTGAGGTAGGAGGATCACTTGAGCCTGGGAGGTTGAGGCTGCAACAAGCCATGGTTGTGCCACTGCACTCCAGCCTGGGTGAATGGCGAGAACCTGTCTCAAAAGATAAAGAAAGTATACTATTTGGTGGTTCTTAGTATATTCACAGTTTTGCAAATGTCACAATTAATTTCCCATATTCCCCTTGATAGTGAGCTTTAGAAGTAACCCTTAGACCTGTCTGCTGAAGCCTTCCTTCTAAGGTAGACATGCAAGTTGTGGACATGGAGGACAACCCACTTATTTCTGCCTAGGGAACCCTGTTTAGTCCTTGGTGGCTTTGGACTACAAGCCTCGTCCTGTGGGCTGAGCTCCCCCTCAGAACTGTACCAAGGCCCATACCTCCCTTCTACTCCAGTGTGACCTAAGGACTCAGCTGGGCTTTCTGGCTGTTTTTTGATATAGCCCTTTTTTGGTGCCCATTGTTTTCAGAATTATATCAGTAAGCATCAGTAATCATCCTTTGATTCTATCGGAGTATTCTGGTTTCTTTTTGATCTGCTTTCCCAGAGGAGTCTGAAGATGAGCTCTTATCATTGGTATTTGGATGCAGGTTGCCATGTACCAAACAAGAATATTTCAGAATTGACCTGGAGTAGGGCTCTGGATAGCAAACCTCAGCTAAGCCAACAAGGCTGCCATGGTGCTTAACACCCAGCCTGGGTCAACTCTAGGTCCTGAGGGACTCTGGAAGGCTAAGAAAGGTTATGGAATACCCTAGGGGTTCAGTGTCCTGTTGTGGGTTTTAGGGATTTCCATAGTTTAAGGGCCTTGGTGATTTTCTTGGAGGAATTCATAACATTTTAGGACGGTGACAAAACCCAGCTCCATCCTGGCTTTCCCTACCACCCCAAGATAAAGGGAGTCACCACAGCCCGGTTCTCTTGCTGTGGTCTTGTTCTGTGTAGCCCTCTTTCCCCAGGCTGCACTTCCTGTCTGAAAGAATCCCCACGTTCTGTGTCTGATCAGGAGAGCACAGCTAATGTGATTTCAGCCCTGGGTTTTGAGGTCTCGTCGTTTGTTTTACTTGAGCTTGGTCCTGGCTGTTATCTCATCCTCCACACCCTATATACAGGGGGTGAAGCCTTCACACATCCCAGAAGGGCCTCAAGCCATTTAGTTCACCTCAGAAGCCGGTAGTGGCCACATAATGGTCCCTTCTGGCCCCCAGTCTGGCTATTCTTCCCCTCCCAAACACAGGGGCAGAGGCTAAGCCCCCTCTTCCACTTCAGCAGGTGGGAGTTATGAGAGGAGGAAGTAAGGGGGAGTGCCCTTTATTTGGGGGTCCAGGACCCCTCTTGTCTGCAGATGGCCACTGAAAATATATGACCACTTAGACTATGGTGACCTGACTTTTGTCAGCAACTCAGAAGGAGGTGGACTTTGGAAGTTAAGAAAGAATTGTCCTATTACCTGAAATCAGTTTGGGGTTGGGATCATTTTTTATCTTAATTGCTTTAGCAATGTAAGTGAATCAGAACTGAAGTGGAAAATGTTCTTGGGTTTATGTTTTCAACACAAAGTATGACGATGCTTACATTCCATTTATAGGAGTGGCAAGGAATTTACTATGCCAAAAAGAAAAACGGAGATAATATACAACAAAATGTGAAGATAATACCTGTCATTGGACAGGGAGGGTAAGTGGAAAAAACAAGTACATCAATCAACATACAGTGTTTTGGGTTATTGCAGAATTTGCTTTGAATATTTAAGTTAAGGACTGCTGACAGAAGTGTCAAGGTCAGGTGTCATCACAGAATGGCCTTCCAGCATAGTGTTTTCTTGGTGACTTCCTCATGGCTACAGTCTGACCCTCTACTTGCAGCCCAGAGCCAACATACTCTGGGCAGTCTTGTTTAAGCTGCGTGGATACACAAGAAACTGAAGTATTTGTTTAAGTCAGAATGTCACTTTAGTAAGTTGTGTGATAATACTGACTGGTAGACTCCCTAT
Source organism: Homo sapiens (assembly GCF_000001405.40). Taxonomy (NCBI): domain Eukaryota; kingdom Metazoa; phylum Chordata; class Mammalia; order Primates; family Hominidae; genus Homo; species Homo sapiens. The sequence goes on from NC_000015.10 coordinate 85,098,353, forward strand.
ATTGAAAAGATTTTTTATCTAATTTGATAGGCTATGTATTATTTCTGCAGAGACCTATCAAATTAGATAAAAATATTTTAAATACTAACAGTTATGGACATTCCTATATAAAACAGATGTGACTGTAGATTGGAAACCAGTATATATCAGGAGCCTAAAACTTTCAGACAGTTTATCTCAGAAACCTATCTTAAAGAAATAATATGGTAAGATGAAAATTATGAATATGAATTATAGAACACCTAAAATATTGCAGCCATTAGAAATGATGATCATATTCACAGGTTCTAAGATGAGGGCCAAAAAAAGTAGAAATGATGATCATAGAAAATTAAATTACCTCATGCCTGTAATCCCAGCACTTTGGGAGGCCAAGGTGGGAAAATCCCTTGAGCCCAGGAGTTTGGGATCCGCCTGAGCAATATAGTGAGACCCCCATCCCTACAAAAAATGTAAAAATTAGCTAGGTGTGGTGACACACACCTATCAGTTACTTCAGGGGGCCGATGTGGGAGAATCGCTTGATCTTGGGAGGTCGAGGCTGCAGTGAGCTATGATCATGCCACTGTACTCCAGCCTGGGCAACAAAGTAAGACACTGTCTCAAAAGGAAAAAAAAAAATAAAATATGAGAAAGGTTATGATACAATGTTAAATGCAAAAAGTAAAATGTAAAATGATAGCTAGTGTTTAATCTCAATCATGTAAAGAAAAGAAGGAAAAAAGAACAGGAGAAAGTATGGCAGTGGCCGTTGTAGTAACCGCTGTTGTTTAATTGAGCCCCTCCCTTCCTGGCCAGTTCTCAATGTGTGGTAAATGCCACTTCATTCCATCCTAACTGCAGCCCTGTGAGGTTGGGACTGTGATCGTCTCCACTTTACAGATGAGGAAACTGAGGCTTAGAGAGGTCAGGTTTCTAGCCCAGGGGTCCAGCTGCCAGCGTGAGGCGCAGCCAGGCTGCAGACCTCAGCACTGACTGCACAGCTCACGTGCTTTGTCACCAGGCTTTGCTGCCAGTTGGTGATCGCCTCAGGGAGATGGATCTGTGTGGGTTCTCTGTTCTGATTCTTTGCCCTTTTATGTCCTTTCCAATTTTTTTGTGGTAAGTATATAGGGATTTGATTATCAAGGGGAAAAAGTGAAAAAACTGAAGGAACAATAAATAAATGAGAAGAGTCAGCAGCCTCTGAGCTAAGCCCTCGTTGCTTTGTTTTAGACATCTAGCTAACCACGTTCAGTGTGAACCTCAACTCCCAGTGTGGCCCGCGGCTGTGGCCACCAGTGACCGTGAGCAGATTGTTTGTTGGAACTTGAAGAAAAGCATCAATGTAAAGGGTTGTGAAAATAAAAACATGTTAAGGAACTAAAGGCTCTCAGTTGGTTAACATGCAGTTCATTTTAAAAAATATGTATATTTGATTGTCTCATGATTAATTGGGAAGAATTTTGTCATTTTTACTGAAGTCACTTGTACAGAGACGCCAAAGGATGTTTGTGATCTCTTCTTTATTTATTGGTGGCCTTGGTCACAGTGAGAAGAAATGTTCTCAGAGCGTTTTGTGTATTGCAAAAGGGAGGTGCCATTTTCGTAATGAAAAATTAACGACATATCCATCAAATTAGAGACTCAGAAGAGAAATAATGCATTGTTTTTTACTTGCAGAAAAATTAGACACTATGTGTCCATTATCAGAGTGTGCAATGGCAACAATAAGGTACGTAAGGAGAGCCCCCCGGGGCCCCAGGAACACCCCAGCAAGATTTTCAGCAATCAGAACTAATGGCTTTTAAAATTCACTTTTAGGCTGAGAAAATATCCGAATGTGTTCAGTCTGACACTCATACAGGTACGGTGCCCCGTATTTATTCTTAGAGTTCATTGAGTTTTTGGAGAAAAAAAATAAAAACAGATCTTTAACTAGCTTGCCTGGTGTAATGGTGGGATTTTCCTCAGACTGTGGCAACATTTCTCTCCTTGACTCCCCAGGCTGGCTTATGAGTCACTTGTACAGAGGACTTGAGCGCTTGTGAGCATTCTGATGGGTGCCCTGGGGCGGGTCTCTGAGCCTGCGAGGGAAAGAAATGGTCAACTGAAATGCATGAACTCATGTGAAGTGTGGTTTTATAACCTGATTTATACTTTAAGAGGGTTGAGTGTTTATCCCACAGTCCTTTAACAGGGATGTCTTCATCTGTCCTGACACTTACCACTGCCAGCCTGCAGGGAGGTAGCCAGGCCCCTCGCACTTGCCTCACCTCTATGTTTCTTAACCATGCCTTGGACACCATCTGTTCTTCCCCATAGCTTTCTTACTGCAAATGCATTTCCCTGGTTTGGAGTCACCTGTTTCCTTCAAACGTGTCATGACTTCAGCAAGCCACTTCCTGTTCTGGCCCTCACAGATGAAGGGGCTGGGCTGGGATGGTGAAGCGCCACTCCAGCTTCAGGCAGGAGGTGCTCCGTCAAGTGTCTGTGTAGACACTTGGCGTGCCACCCTGCCTTGCCTGAGTAGTGTGCTCTGCTTGCCCATGTGGTCTGTAAGAGCCTCTAAGGAGAAGACTTCCCTTCATGCTGTTGGTGACATGCTTTCTGCCTTACCAGAACAGTTCATTCTTTCATTCTAGAAACACTTACTACATATTTTTGTGAGCACTTAATGTGTACAAGATACCTGTCCTAAGTGCTTTAGGTACAGCTTATTTTAATGAAGCCTTAGAATAACTCAAGGAGGTAAGCATTTTTAGGTGAAATTCTCTTTACAGGTAAGGAAACTGAAAGTTTAAGTAATCTGCCCAAGGATCTCCATTTAGGAAGTGGCAGAGCTAGCACCTGAATCCAGGAGGACTGACACTAGGGCTCTGAAGCACAGTTTTTATGGGTGCCCCAGGAGCAATCAGAGATTTAGTCTGAAAAGAGAGACACATTGACACAAAGGAACACAGCAAGTGATAAGAAGTGATCCCCAGGAATGAGAAAGGGCAGTGGGTAGTCTTCTAGACAGGGAGAGGTGGATTTGAATAGAAAAGAAATGTGAGCGGGAAAGCATTCCAGCAATAAAAACAGGCATAGAAGGGGGAAAGTACAGGGCATGTTCCAGAAAAAGCAAGTACTAAATTTTGACTTGTATAAAAGGTCAATGGGGAAAGAGGTATTTGGGTCAATAAGAATCCTTAAATGCTAGGTGGGAAGTTTCCATTTTCATCTGTGGACAGTGGGAGTCTGAGGATTTGTGAGTCAGGGAGCAGCGTGATGACATCTGAGCTTTGAGAAGCTCTTAGAGCATGTATGTAAGATTACATGGAAGGAGACACCAGAGAGAAGAATACCAGCATTGCCATGGTCGAGAGGAAAGAAAACAATGGCCAGGGAATAATAAGGTGATGACAGTAGGAAGAGAGAAGAGAGACCAGATGTGATGATGGTGTGGGACTAGAGAGAGAAAAGCAAGAAAGTCCTTGAAAAGGTTGTTTCTGAGCCTGGAGATTCAGGCAGTAGCAGTAGGGCTGGGGAGGATGAATGTGGAGAGCTCTACCTGTGAGGTCCTGGTGGGCAGTCAGGTGGGTTTGTTTGTTCACCCCTTTGCCCATTTATTCTACAGATTTCTGTTGAGTACCTGCTGAGTGCTGGCTTCTGTGTTCTGCAAAGAGGTTAGGTCTAGAGATGAAAATGTTTCTGGCCAGCCAAGCATTAGCAAGTAGCACAGATGTGGAAGTGATGGAAACCAGGGATGGTAAAGGGGAATGGAAACTTTGAGATTACAGTGGAAGAGAACAGCAAGAAAAGGAGAGGAGGGGTGAGGTGGATTCCTAGAGACCACCCACCTCCAGAGAAGGAGGAAACAGAAGCAGGAAAAGAGGGGTTAGAGGGACGAGGGAGTCTGGAGAGCGTTGCTGAAGCTGAAGGCGGGGAGAACGGGAAGCATCAAGACTGGTCAGGGCTGAAGCACACATAGGGAGGGAGGGGGATATGGAGCCAGAGATGGATAAAAACTTGTGCTTTGCATTCAAGAGCTCGTGTGTGACCTGCAGACATGCAGTTTCAGGAGAATGGCGAGGGCAGAAGCCAGATTGCAGGGGCTGGAGGAGTCAGAGTAGAAAGCAGCATGTGTGGGCCTGTTATGGAGAGTCCTACACCACAAGTTCACAGGGGGCTTTTACTTGGTTGTAAGCATTTTTTTTTTTTTAACTCTTAAGAAGAGTACCATAGGGCTGGACGCAGTGGCTCACACCTGTAATCCCACCACTTTGGGAGGCTGAGGCAGGCAGATCACCTGAGGTCGGGAGTTGAGAGCAGCCTGACCAACATGGAGAAACCTCGTCTCTACTAAAAATACAAAATTAGCCAGGCGTCGTGGCGCATGCCTGTCATCCCAGCTACTCAGGAGGCTGAGGCAGGAGAATCACTTGAACCCGGGAGGCTGAGGTTGTGGTGAGCCGAGATCGCGCCATTGTACTCCAGCCTGGGCTACAAGAGTGAAACTCCATCTCAAAAAAAAAAAAAAAAGAATACCACTGTAAAGTAGGTATGACTATTATTTATATTCCTTTATTACAGAGGAAGAAACTGAGGCTCAGAAAAGTTCAATGAGCCAGGTGTGGTGGCTCACACCTCTAATCCTAGCACTTTGGGAGGCCAAGGCAGGTGGATCGCTTGAGCCCAGGAGTTTGAGACCAGCCTAGGCAACATGGTGAAAACCTGTCTGTACCAAACATACAAAAAATTAGCCGGGTGTGGTGACACGCGCCAGTAGTCCCAGCTACAGGGGAGGCTGAGGCACGAGAATTGCTTGAACCTAGGAGGCAGAGGCTGCAGTGAGCTGAGATCGCGCCACTGCACTCCAGCCTGGGCGACAGCAAGACTCTGTCTAAAAAAAGAAAAAAGTTGAAAGACAGCCTAGAGTTGGGCAGCCGGGATATGGCAGAGCTGGGACTGAGAGGCAGAGTCAGTGATGCAGTCAGAGGAAATGTTCGGCAGGGGGAGCATCTCCCAAACTGCATTTGTACCAGGGCATTTGGTCGTTTTACTTGGTCACCGTTGACTTAGGAGTTTTACCCATCCCACCCAGGTGAGCCACTTGCCCATCCTACCTACCCCCTTAGCAGCATAACCACCTTTATGTCCAAAGGTCTCAACTGGCCATCTTCACTTGAGAAGGCAGGGTGGAGCTGTTATAGGCCATGGGCCAGCCAAAGTCCTTGGTTATACACAACAGAAATCAATTCTTCAGCAGAAAAGGAGTTTTTTCTGGAAGGAAATAGGGTTGCTTATAGATTGGACAACAAAGCTCTAGAACTAGTTTTGGAAAAGGAAGCAAGAACCTGGGGAAGCTGAGCAATTGTCCCCACTGCCGTAGGCATGCCATAGGAGCACTGTGCTTAGGGGGCCACTGCTGTCACTACTGAGCTTTGAGCACCACTGGCCCTGTTGAGATCTGGTTATAGGGTGTTGCTGTTCTCACCACGGGTAGCATAGCTTCTTCACACCTCGCTTCCTTACCTCACTCAAAAGCAGACTCTTGGAAGGAAGCACTCATTTGTCTGGGCCTGTGTCACCTACTCTGTCACTAACTGGGTATGGAGCAGTGGAGTCTCTGGCCTTCTCCCTCCCCTACTGAGAGGACTTAGTACTCCCAGACATGGGAAGGAAGGTTCAGGGTCTGGGCATCCAAAAGAGTAATAAAATCCCAATACATGCTCCCTTTTCCCTGGCCCATGTGTTGTTTTCACGTGACACTGTCTCACTGAGGACACCAAATTGTAGTGACAACTGTCCAGTCTATTGACTTGTTCTAGGTCAGGCCCTGAGCCTGACTGTAAGCATACAGAAATGAACATGAGTTTCGCTGTCTGGTGGCAGGAGAAAATAATTTGAATATGCTGTGGTTTGTAGTACCACACTGGAGAAAAGCTGGGGAATGCTTCCCAGCAATGATGATGATGATGGTTGACCTGGTGTCTGAAGAGAAGTAGGGGTCATGCAGAGGACAAGATGGGAGAAGCAGCACCCATAAAGGCATCGCGAAGCGAGGCTGGGGCAGGCCAGTTTGGATTCATCCTGTAGGCAGAGGAAGACCAAGGGAATCTTTATAAATAGGTAAATGGGAAAGGGTCAGGTCTTAGGAAGACAGTCATGGAGAAAAGAGATTGAAGACAAAGTAACTCCTGAATCCAGCCTCAGGAGCCCAATCAGAGACTGGATTCAGGAGTTACTTAAGTATAATCAGTAGGATTTGGGAACCAGCTTACTGTGTGGGATAAAGAGAAGACTTCAGAATGACACCAAGATATCTAGCTTGGCCACTGGATAACATTAGTTAAAATAACAAGTGCAAATAAGATCGTAAGAAAGAGCAGGTTTGTACAGGGAGTGGATAGTAAGTTTAGATTTGAACTTACCACATCTGAAGTGATAAGCCAAAACTTTTGGCCCTGGGCCAACTATTCTGAAGAGAGAAAGTGAGGCAGGAAGACTGAGTACCAAGAAAGGAGTCCAGCAATAATAGACGTGAATAATGGCCAGGGGAGCACTGAGGAGCAGGATGAATTCATTCATTCATCATTCATCCAAACTCAGTGCAGTTGTGTCTCTGCTTGCAAGATATGTTTCTATCTGGGGGTGAGGTAAACAGTAAGCAAATAAACATACAGTATATCAGATGGTGCTAAGTTCTGTGGAGAAGAATAAAGCCAGGGGATTGGGCATGCAGGGGATGAGGAGGTGGTCAGGACATGCCTTGCCAGTAATGTGACAGGCTCTGGTTCTTGTTCAGGTGGTATGGAATGGAACCCAGGCCTCATACTTTGCAGGTGTTCTCATGGGCTACCAGGGTTGGGGCCATTGTTAGAGGCCTCATAGATGATTGAAAAGAGTTGGGAGATTTGGTCTGTGCCTGGAGAAAGTGAGCTTTCTTGGGAGGAAGAGGTAGTTACCAGAGGCCCATGTGCAGAGAGTCCTGTGGGCTTGGCAGTTTGGAGGTGGCCCTGTTGCAGAGTAAGTGCTCTGCAAATGCTTGTTGATAGTGCCTGAGGAGATGTTCCGACAGTCAGCTGTGGTCCCGGCAGAATGACTTTTGGGCAAGTCACATAAAATACTGGGGTCTGGACTTCCTCATATCCAAACTGGAACTCATACTTCCAGGCTGCAGGGCTAATGCGAGTTGGAGGAAGCTGCTGTTTTTGAGGGGTACTGATTGGTTATCCTCTCTCATCACCCCCACTGTTTTTCCAGGGTTTCCTGGATTTACCCAGCAGGTCAAGGAAATGCTATTAATTTTTCTGTATTGAAAGGGTGGGCAGAGTTTATGGACCCTATTTTACAGAACAGGAAGCCAAGAGCAGAGACATGAAGTTGCAGGTGATCCTGAGCCCAAGCCCTGGCTATGGAGGCCTAGTTAGTGTTCTCTCCACTGGCAGGCCGGATACCTCAGGATGAGTATGTGTTTTCTGAGCACCCAGTAAGCATGAGGCCCTGGGCGCAGCACGCCTTCAGGAGCTGGTAGTCTCATTGGGATGTAAGCCTCACACTTCATCTTCAACCTCTTGGTGTTCCCTGAGGAGAGCTTCTGAGAGCTGGGTGCTGGGGTGACAGGGTGGAGACGTGGTCCATCTCTACCCACTGGGCGAAAATTGCTAGAATCATCTATAACGTGCTACAGGGACTAGGGGAGCAGTGAGCTTAGCAGGGCTTTTGGGAACAAGAGGATCTTGTATTTACATAAAGTAACTTTGAAACAGTCAAGTAGAAATTAAAGCCTGGTTAGTCTCCCTCCACTTTTCACAGTGCGTCCTTCATACACCCTCTGCTGCTTGCTCCTCTCCAGCCACACTGCTCCATCTGCACAAGCAGTTTCCTCCTCCTGGAAATGCTGTCGTCCTCCTCCTCATCTTGGCTGCAGCTACAAGACTCCATCCATCTCCTTTCTGCCCCCACTCCCTTGAGAATCTGCCACTTCCCCCTCCAGGCTCCTCCTGAACTTCAGAATTATTACTGTAACTCCTAGTTTACCCACCCTTTTCCCCACTGACCATCTCCTTTCGAGTTCATGGACTATACCTCATTCATTTTCACCTCCCTAATGCCTAGCTTAGGGCATCACACATGGTGGGTGAAGGTTTGTTGAGTGGAATAAAAGAGAGAAGAATGAAGGAACAAATAATCATAAGTTCTCAGTCCAGGCTCATCAGGTGGCTATGTGGACATTACTCATCATGAAGCTCAGAGGAAGGAGACACATTTCCAGCTCCATGTGGTTGAGAAGAGGGGAAATTTGAAGGAATGAACACTTGGAGAGGGTGCAGTGTTGTGTCTCAGACAGAAGGAGCCGGTGTCAAGGCTGTTCCAGAGATGGAAGGCGGAGCAGTTGTGCTGATGCAGTACATTCATGGGAAACAGTGAGAGATGAAAGGCAGGCTGCTGCAGGCCATCCTTACCTGCCCTTGAATGCCAGGAAGTTCTTTATCTCTGAGACGCTGAAGGATTTTGAGCAGGGGAGCCACAGAATCAGAGTGGCTGATTTAACAGAACTTTGATTTGTGCACAGGAAGGTGCAGGTTTTTGGTGAAGCAGATGTGTATTTATTGAGCTTCTATACACATATGCTTCTTCCAGCAGATGGTAGGCACAGAGCTGGTCACCTAGGAAAGACAGGAAAAACTGTCCCTGCCCTCAAGTCATTCATGTTAGCAAGGAAGGCAAGAAGGCAAGACAATAAAGCAGGCTGTTACCCAGCACTGTTGGGGTGGTGTGGAGAGACTTTAAGGGAAGGTTTCCCAAAAGTTAGGATACCTGAACTGCATCTTCAAAGAAGATCAGAGGTAACCAGGCGAAGAAGGTGGCAGGGGAGAGGCACATTTCCAAGTAGGTGGTTTGTACCAAATCATAGAGGTTTGGGAGGCAAATTAACAAATCATAAATAGTTCAAGGTGGATAGAGATAGGAGGTGCAGACCTCATAGGACTCTGGGTGCCACACTGAGGAGTTTGAATCTTATCCTAAAGACAAGGATGAGCCATTGAAGTGTTTTGATTGAGAGATCTGGTTGGATTTTTGTTTTACAACGATCGCTTGGCTGCCTGCAGAGAATAAGTTGAAAGGGATAAGGTTGGTGTTTTAGAACCAATCTGGGAGGCCATTAATCCAGGGAGGATGACAAATGTCTGAGCTTGGACAGGGATAGAGCAGGGGATAGACTGGAGGTGTTTAGGAGGTAGAATCCTTAGATTTGGCTGACCCAGTGGAAGGAGAGGGGAGGGGGAGAAGTGATGGATGACTTCTGTCTACCTTATGGTACATGCTGTTCAGTGATCTGGGTTAAAGAGCAGATTTGGAGAAAGATAAGGACTTCATGGTGGATAATGAATTCATTTGCAGTGCCTGAGGAGTGTCTAAGTGAGGTGGTAAATGGTAAGTTAAGATGTAAGTCTGGAGCTCAGGAGAGAGGCCTGGGGTAAGATGGCAACATAGGAATTAATTAAAACTATAGGAAGAATGAGATCTCCCAAGGAGGTTTTGTTGACTGAGAAGGGCTAAGGATAGAACCTTTTGAAAAACCACCTTTGGAAACACCAGGGGTACTGAGGAAGGAGGAAATCATGAAAGAAACTAGAAAGGAGTAGTAAGAAGTGGAAGGAAAACCAGGAGAGTGTGGACTCTGCAAACAGAAGTGTCCAGAAAGGGATCAGTTGTGTCTAGTACCACAATCAAGTCAGGTCAGGTAAGGATTGAGTTGTAGCCTTCAGATTTAGCAAAAAGGAGGTCGTTGGTGACCTTGACACATTCACTCTTTAGTGCCCACAGAGAAGAGGATTTAGTTTAATTGGGCAAAGAAGCAAAGAGCAAGTGAAGAGCCTTTTCGATGGTGCAAAGGAAGTGCTAAGGGCCTACATTCGGATCCTGTACATGAGCAGGGAGAGAAGTTCCAAGTGAGGAAGCCAAGACAAGGCAGAGAAGCTACTCCATGGCTGTGGGAAGAGCTGAGCTCAGCGCCCACCCTGCTATGCACTCATCTGCAAAGCAGCTCCTAGTTTCCTTGTCTGTGAAATGGGGATGCATGGTACCCAGCAGGTGCACAGAGAAGGGGTCAGGAAGGTAAGTCAGAGTTGCCTTGTCAGTGATTGGTTTGGGGGTCAGGATTAGAGAAGAGTCAAAGACAGTCCCCGTTTGAAGCCTAGGAGAGTAGTGTGTCCTTCGTAGAGAAGAGGGGGTGAAAGGGAGGCAGATGAGCTATCATTTGAAATATACCTCAAACAGTGTTCACCATACTACCCTAGGAAAGAGAAGAATGTTTTCCCTGGGATATTGTAGTCCTTATTTTGTAGAGAAAATAAAAGATTTTTTTTCTTTGGGGCAAGATGAGTGGGGATCAAAATTTTCCCATCATTTTATTCAATTATATAGAAATATAATAGGAGAAATTCTCCTGAGGTCATTTCTATCAGTTGTCACTTTATGTCTTGGGACTCTGTAATTACATAATCTGGAACTGTAAAGCCCTTGTTTATCTGTGCACCTGGTGGGACATTTTGAGAAACTCTACCCCCATAAAACTGGTTTCTCATAGTCTTCATCTCTGTACTGTGTTTACTTTTGTGGCATTTAAAACATTTAAAGTTGAGAGTTTTAAAAAAATTTTAGATTGGTAACCTTCCTTAATATGTTGTTTAAATATCTTTGAAGAGGTGATTTATCATTTGTTTCTACAGATAATCAGACAGGCAAACATAAAGACAGGAGAAAAGGCTCACTAGACGTCAAAGCTGTTGCCTCCCGTGCAACTGAAGGTGAGTGACAAAGACAAGAGAAAAAAATGTGATCAAATCACTGTTGAACACATGGAGCCCTGCCCTGCCTTGCCCAGGCTCATCCTGTCTACCTCCAATTCTTGGGAGAGGAGGGAACCCTCTGGAAACTAGTGTTCCCTTTCTCCCTCTCTGTGGACTCCTGCCAATGGGCTCCATTCTGAGCCTTTTAATGGAATCAGAAAATAAAGAAAAGGAAGAAGATACATTTCCCATATATTCTATAGTTGCTTTTCTAAACTGTAACAGCAGAAGATGTCAGTTCATCTGCTATAATTGTTTGAATTTGATAATTCTTAAAGATCTATCCCATCGTGGTTTGCAGTTTGCCATGGAAACTTTTAGAGAGAGGTGAGCTCGATTTTGGAATTGTGAAAGACCCTTATTCAGCAAATATTTAAGTTCTAATTGAAATATACTTTTTAAAAAGAATATGTAAGTGCATGGTCTGAATGACTTAGTTTTTGAAATGTAGTCAACATTGTTTATACAGAGTGTGGAGGCAGGTATTGCTGCTAGCTGTATACATTCTTTGGCCCAAAAATGAATACAGAAGGATACAGAGCTGGTTGTACTGGTTCAAAAGACAAACTTTTCCAAGGTGATATCAGCTAAGATTATACAGTAGGGATCAAATGCTACCCTCTCATCCCTCACAGATTTGTGGTAAGGCCCAGATGACATGCTGTGTACTCCTTGCACTGGAAAGACCATACAGATTACACCCCTGCTTTGAGGGCAGGATTGGGGTGGTGCCAGTGAGGAAGCGGTATGGGGTTATGGGAAGACTGTAAGCTTTGGTGTCAGAATGACCTCAGTCCAAGTCCCAGCTTCATCTACTCTCTGTGTAGCCTTGAGGGTGGACTTCTGTGTTTCCATTGCCTTATCTGTAAAGTGGGGATAATTTGCTGTCTGCAGAGGATTGTGTGAGGATTCAATGAGTGTGTATGGTGCCTGGTAAGTAAGGGTAGGGACTCAGTTAGTGTTAGCTGCCATCGTCATCTTCATTGTAGCTGTCGTGATTACAGTCCCAGACCCTCTGCAGTCCTGGAGCAGCACAGAGCAGGGCTGAGGTCCCTGCCCAGAACAGTCTTCACTCACCACATGCTAATGTTTGTTGATCCTTTGGATTCCTTGGTATATTTCTGTGTTTTAATAAACATCTTTTTCTTATAACTTTTTATGATTTTTGAGTTATAATTTATATACAATGAAATTCACTTAAGTTTCATTTCAGTGAGTTTTGACAATTCTGTATGCTCATGTAGTCACCACCCAAAATAGATATAGAAAATCCACACACACAAACACATTATTAACCATGCAGAAGCAACCATTGATGGCTAGCACCGTAAATTAATTCGGCCTCTCCTTGTGCCTCATAGAATTGGAATCGTACAGTATGGCTTGTTTGTGTCTAGCTTCTTGCACTTTCATGTTTTCGAGGTTCTTCCATGTTGTTAGGTATGTCATAGTTCCTTCCTTATTGCTCAGTAGTATTCCGTTACAGGAATATACCACAATTTGTGTGCACATCTTCTTCTTGTTTCCATTTTGAGGCTGCTAAGAATAAGAATGCCATGAACATTTTTATGCAGGTCATTTTTTGTGGATGTATATGCTCATCTTCTCCCTAGAAGTGGGATTGCTAGGCCTTAGAGCAGCTGCAAATGGTGCTCTCCAGTTTTATTCTCCAATAATAGCTCCAACATATGGCACCATGTTACTCTCCTCACTCATCTGTGAGAGTTCCAGTTGTTCCATGTTTTCCCACACTTGGTAATACCAGAATTTAAAATGTTAGCCACTCCAGTGGTTTTAATTTTAATTTTCCTTATGACTGAAGTTGAGCACCTTTTTATTGGTCATTTGGATAATCCTCTTCTGAAGTGTCATTCAGGTCTTTTGCCCATTTTTATAATTGGGTTGTATATCTTGTTGGTTTGTAGGGATTCTGTATATTGTCTAGATATGGGTTATCTGTGTATCACAAATATATTTTTTTAGTCTGTTGTTTGCCTTCTCCCCTCTAAATCATATCTTTTGATTCTTAATCAAAGAGCAGAGGTTCTTAAGGAAATTTATTTTATCAGGTTTTCTATTATTACTTGCGCTTTTTATGTCCTATTTAAGAAATCGTTCTTTATCCCAAGATCGTGAAAATATTCTCCCTTGTTTTCTTCTAGGAGTTTTATTGTTTTATCTTTTGTTTTAGGTCTTTGATCCATTTAAAATTATTTATATCTGGTGAGGGTAGAGATCAAGGATGACTGCCCCTGACCCTAGGGAAATCCAACTCGTCTATCACCATATTGAATAACCATCTTTTGCAGTAGCACCATTATTATAAATCAGCTTACTACGAATATGTGATCTGTTCCTGGACTCTATTCTGTTCCACTGTTCTGTTTGTTTACGCTTGTACCAATATCACAATCAGTTACTTATATAGTAAGTGTTGATATCTGATACCTGGTAGTAGGTAGCTGTTCTTCTTCAGTGCCTTGGCCGTTCTAGGTCCTTTGCATTTCCATGTGACGCTTAGAATGAGCTTCTTAGTTTATACACACATCCTCCTGGGATTTGTTTTCAGAGTGCCTTAAATCTGTAGATCACTTCAGGGAAAATTGAAATCTCAATAATGGTGAGTCTTTCAAATCATGAACATGCTATGTCTCCATTTATTTAGGCTGTCTTTGTTTTCTCTCAGCAGTGTTTTACATTTTTGTTGTAGAAATCATACAAATCTTTAATTAGATTTATTCTTAGGTATTGATGGTTTTTTATGCTATTGTAGTGGTGTTACTTGTTTAAATTTCCAATTGCTTATTGTATATAGTTATAGAAATACAACTGATTTTTGTATATTGACTTTGTATATCTAGGAGCTTGGGTAAACTTACTCACTGTAAAAGAAGAGGAGTGCATTTATAGATTCTTCTGGGCTTTCTGTATACACAGTCATGACAATCTTTATACTTTTTTTCTTACCTTATTGCTCTGTTTGATTTTTTTCTAATTCCTTTATTTTTAATTGACAAGAATTATGTGTATTTATCATGTATATGATGTTTTGACCTATCTGTACATTGTGAAATGACTAAATCAGGCTAATTAACGTGTATTACCTCATACACTTTCATTTTTTTGTGGTGAGAACACTTAAAATCTACCTTTAGCAATTTTCAAGAATACCTTGTTATTAATTGTAGTTACCATGTTGTACAATAGATCTCTGTTGTTTGTTACAAGCATATATCAATTATTTTTAAATGAAAACAAGTCCTTTTATGACAGTGATAAAATAGGAGTTTTTATTTTTGGTTTAATGACCTTGTTGGGTAAAATGGAAAGTTGGCAATCCTATAATCACCAAAATTTTAAGAAGTTTAGTTGGGCCCCCAAATTTAAAACATTTGAGACCCCCTGAATTGGTTAACTTTGGACGGTGTCTCTCCTTGGGCCTCAGTTTCTTCATTGGTAAAATGAGGTTGACACATCAGTCTCTGGGACAGCCCCTGGTCCTGTAACGTCTTTGGGAAGCAGCATTTAGCCTGATAGGATTGTTCGTGGAGATACCCAGGACTGGATGTTAACGTTTTTTCTGCCTATATTGCCTGGGCTTCTCCTCACCCCAAAGGAACCATATCTTGACAGGAACAACAGAAATTAACAAACTTTAGAGCCTAAGAATTGCTGCCTGCCTCATTGAAGATATTTACCTAATCAGTCCAGATTAAACATAACAGTGGGAAGCACCAGAGGGTACCTTGAAAAATTTAACCAGAAATTTGTGTATTTCAGTTATTGGTGAGTTGAATGTATTGCTCCTGCCATATATGAAACAAAGAGCATTGTGTGGCATTGTCTTCCGGAACATTTTTACTCCTAGAGAATGGCAAGCTAAGTAATTATAAAGGCTTATTGTCATAGACACAAAAAGAGGCTGTTTGACTTGGGCTTGCTAGATTGTTTCCTCTGTTTTCTCTCTGGCCTGTGACATCAGAAGTTCAGTCCATGGGGGCATATGTGCATTCTAGTGCCTAGAACTGAAGGAAACAGAATTGGTTATGCCAGAACCCCAGGCTTGTTAGGATGGGAAGGAAGCTCAGCAAACTCAGTTCTATCCTGCCCCTTCATCATGCAGCCGAGCACACTGAGCCCTCTGCTGTCAAGACAGGTGCCCAGAGTTGTGCATGCCCTGATTTGTGCATCCCTTTCTCCACAGTTTCCAGCCAGAGACGACACTCTTCCATGGCCCGGATACATTCCATGACAATTGAGGCGCCCATCACCAAGGTGAAGCAGTTTGTGGTCTGTCTCCATTGAGCACACATACTCCTTGTTCTCCCCAAGGATCATTTCCAATGAGAAGAAACAGGGACCCGCAGTAATGAGCATGCTGTCATAGTTGTGTGGTGCTAGTAGCCTCCTCTGAAGAGAGAGGATGTGTGACATGGGCATTTTAACTAGTCTTAAGTTAGTATTAAGTACTATGGCCAGACTGAGTCCTGTTGGGTTTTGTTTTGTTTTTGCTGTTATTTGTTTTTTAGAGATGTGCTCTCTCATTTCTGTTGCCCAGGCTAGTCTCAAACTCCTGGGCTCAAGTAATTCTCCCACCTCAGCCTCCTGAGTAGCTGGAATTACAGACACGTACTGCCATGCCTGGCTCTCCCACTGTTTTTAAGGTTATGAAACTCAAGTATTTTCTTTCCATAATGTAGGTAATCAATATTATCAATGCTGCCCAGGAAAGTAGTCCCATGCCTGTGACAGAAGCCCTAGACCGTGTGCTGGAAATTCTAAGAACCACTGAGTTATATTCACCACAGTTTGGTGCTAAAGATGATGATCCCCATGCCAATGACCTTGTTGGGGGCTTAATGTCTGTAAGTATATTTGACTAGACTCTTGGCTAGAGCCTGTCTGTTCTTGGTTGTTTTCTCAGAGGTTATTCACTTAAACAGATATTGAAGAGGCAGGCAGGGCTCTGTAGGGTTCAGTCAAGACCTAAACTCTCCTCCATTGCCTGGGTTCTGCTATTCTCTGGCCAAGCACCCACCTGCTGCCTGCCTCCTAGGGAGAGCTTAGCTTGGAGCAGAGCAGGGAGGAATGTAATCCTGACAGTCTGCTGAGCACCAGTTCTCCAGTGTTGCTTAGGGCTTCTACAGTAGTTTATCTAAATAAAGCTTGTTTAGTTGTATTAAAGATCTTCAAAACTGGGACAGTGTAGAACAGAAAGATTGTCTTTCTCCCGCCATATGTATTTAAAATGGTGCCGGGGGTGCAACAGTTTGGCCTTCAAAGCATCCCACACACATTTAGATGACTGTAGGAAAGAGGGATTTGGGAATCTTTCACTAGAAGGGGGCTTTGTGTCATAGACTCTTGAGGGGTCCTGGATGCCTCCTTCAGCATGTCTGGTGTAGAGCTCTCACAAGAGAGGGACAACTTTGTGCAGCACAGATTATTCCATTGCTCTCTGTCAGCTTTTGTCTTGGTCAGAAGCAAAATCCACCTCCCTCCCAATTACTGCTTTCTGAAGTCACTGGATTTTATAAAAATAAGGTTCCAGGCAGAAATCTAGAAGGTAGAGTGTTTACAATGCTGATAATATCTCACTGTGGTCTTGCCTATTTGAGACAGGGTCTCCTCCAGACTGCAGGTAAGAGGTGAAAATGATGAGGGATGGGGGTAGGATAGTGTCCTGGAGGCGAGCAGATGAGAATAGCCACAGGACTGGAGAAAAGGGGCTGCTGAGAGTACGGGTTTGGGCCAGGTGGTCTGGAAGCAGTGGTGAGGAGCCCAGGAGAGTCAACTGTGGGGAATGAGGTCACTTATGAGGTGAGAGAGGAGCTAATGTTTCCAGGAAAGCCTCGTGTCCTCAGAGTGAGGAGGGTTGCACGAAAATGGAGGAGAAGGACTGAGGGCAGAGCACAGTTGTCCCTAAGAAACCAAATGGTCCTGGAGTGCAAGCAAGAATGCTGGGCTTAAAGACCACCCACCCCTCAAAAGATGCAGGCTCACCTCCCGGGTGTTGACCTTGCTCCTGAGTTTAGCTTCCAACAGGGCCAGGACCATCCTTCCCAGCATTAGCCTGTTGTGCTCTCCAGTAAGTGACTGAGGTCAGTGGTCAATCACAGGGGTGGACCTGCTGGGCCCAGGGCAGCCTTGAGTGCATTGGTGGAGAGGGCTGCCCTGAGTTGTCCTGTGGGAGGACCACCTGGAGTTTCCAGGAAGGAAAGAATAGTTGTGACTTTTCTTTTTCTTGTTTCCTTGATTTTTATCAGGATGGTTTGCGAAGACTATCAGGGAATGAATATGTTCTTTCAACAAAAAGTAAGTTTTTCCTTTTTAATTTCTTAGATCACTGTCTATAATACTGCAGTCTAGCTTAAGTGATGAAAATAATTTTTCACCTCATTAAGAAGTTTCTTGGTATGTCATAAAGCCTCAGAAACAAAGCAGCTGTCCCTGAGGCGGTACTGTCCTCCCTAAGAAACAGTTAATCCTGGCCGGGAGCGGTGGCTCACACCGCCGAGATGGGCAGATCACAAGGTCAGGAGTTCAAGACCAGCCTGGCCAACATGGCAAAATCCTGTCTCTACTGAAAATACAAAAAATTAGCCAGGCATGGTGGCAGGTGCCTGTAATCCCACTACTCAGGAGGCTGAGGCAGGAGAATCACTTGAACCCGGGAGGCGGAGGTTGCAGTGAGCTGAGACTGTACCACAACACTCCAGCCTGGGCAACAGAGTGAGATTCCGTCTCAAAAAAAAAAAAAAAAGTTAATCCTTTAAAGCCTATTTGTTCTCCAAATTACATCACTTTACAGACACTCAAATGGTTTCAAGCAATATAATCACTCCCATCTCCCTTGATGATGTCCCACCACGGATAGCTCGGGCCATGGAAAATGAGGAATACTGGGACTTTGATATTTTTGAACTGGAGGCTGCCACCCACAATAGGTGAGTTCATGCAGAGCTCAGCAGCGGGAGAACTAGATTCCCAGGGCCTGTGTGAGGAGGCTACCTGAGGAGTATGGATTGTGCACAAGCCTGGTACCTGGTCAGGGTGGGGCCCTAAGGAAGGAGTAACAGGGCACCAGGTGGCTCTGAGTCACCAGGGCCTGGGGGAGAGTCTGCTGGCCACAGTGATGGCACATTCATGGAAAGCATGCAACTGAGCCAGTGACTTCTCCAAGTAGCACAGGACTTTTTTCTGTGAAATAAAGGTATTTCTCCTGTAGGTGGTAATATGTTAAGATTGCTGTAAGAGATCTGCTCAGAGCCTAGAACCAAAATTTATTAGAAACACATACACATGTGATAAGAGCTGCTCCCAGCTTTTGGTTGTTCTGTTGGTGATAGGCATAGGGACACCCAAAGCCCCAGTCATCCTCATCTGGGTGTGATCACAGAGAGTGGGAGCAGGAATGGGGTTTTGCCTTGAGTTTTTTCCCTTGCGGGAGAAGAGCTGTTAACCAAAGGTGGTAGTTGGCTGGGCACACAAGAAAGGGAGGTCCACAGAGCTGATTCCAGCCAGGACTGCCCACTAGGGTGTCTAGGCAGAGGTGTGCTCGGTTGGGCCATGGGATGGCTCCTCAGGTCTCATCTCAGTCTGGGTGACCTGTCCCCAAGATAACTCCCTGACTTTTTCAGGCTCCCCTTGAGTTAACCTTCTGATACGTTCTACTTCCCTATCTCCCAGCACAGCCAAGGAGAGTTGAAAAGAATACTCCCTGGGCACATGAGTCTTTGAGCATCTGGTTTACATGCTAGTGACATTACATCCATGTGAATTGGGCTAAGGCAGGTCAGTTTAAGTCCTGTGATCACTTCTGGATACTGCCTCAACACAGCCAGTTTCTTGGCCTTCACAGGCAAGGGCCAGATGCTGGGTCAAGGTGATTTCTCAAGTAAGAACCTAACTTGGTGGCCAGCTGGAAACCTCAGGGGAAATCCCCTCATACTTTTAACGCCCACCTCCAGAAAGGTGGGTGTTGAGAAAATTCCATTGCATACGGCAGTGTCTGGCTTATATGACATTTTCAGGAAATGTTTTCTTATAGGCAGGATGTCTGGCCAATGGCATGGGTCCAGCAAGTCCAAAGGAGAGGATAGTGTTCAAGGTGGTACAAGCTTAGCCTGGAGAAAGGGTTATTTTGAGGAACCCACTAGTGCAAGTAGGAAGCTGAACCTGGAAGGACAGAATGAGCAAACTCCCCCCAACAAATCGGGAGCCCCAACGAGGCTGAGGTCAGAGCTGCTGTGGGCAGCCAGCTCTCACCCGTGCATCATGGTCCCCTGAGGGCAAGAAGTGGAACCAGAGTTGGTTGGCCCCACCAGAGAGAGGCCAGCACAGCCCAAGCAATCTCCACTTTGCTGCCCTGCACTCTCTGAAATTTGGCTTGGAACCTATTCAGGCCTTAAACACTTGGCCTGTTTGTTTGCTTTGTTCTAATATTGTGGGGTTTTTTCTGTCTATAGGCCTTTGATTTATCTTGGTCTCAAAATGTTTGCTCGCTTTGGAATCTGTGAATTCTTACACTGCTCCGAGTCAACGCTAAGATCATGGTTACAAATTATCGAAGCCAATTATCATTCCTCCAATCCCTACCACAATTCTACACATTCTGCTGATGTGCTTCATGCCACTGCCTATTTTCTCTCCAAGGAGAGGATAAAGGTGAGCTGTTGTTTACCTGCCACATTTAATGGGCAGGAGCAGTGGGGAGAGTCTAGTGCTTCTGCCTCCACTAAGATACATAGCATGACTGCTCACGTGTGCAGCCTGGCACAGGAAGGGCAAGGTCATACGAGGAATCAGGCAGGAGGCCACATTAGCTTTGGGAAATTGATGTGTTAATTCATGACATAATCCCAGCTATTCCATGAGGGTACAAGAGGCAGAATTTGGTCCCGGAGGAGAAACCTAACAAGGACAGGATAGGGCTATTCTTCTGGGGGTCTCACTCCAAGCCTGTACACTAGTAGAGCCAAGTAACTGTTGGATATCCCCACTTTAGGGCCTCCATCTGTACATGAAAGTCTGCAGGGCTCTAAGGTCAGGTTCATCATCTCTGTTCCCAGCACTGCTCCCACCCAGGGTTATCTACCTAATCCAGGGTTCCATTATCCAACCGGATACCCAGATTAGAAACCGAGAGTCATCCTTGGTTCTTTCCACTCCTCAACCCCCCACATCTGGTTGATCATCTGACCTTGCCTCCTGTCACACCTAAATGTTCTCAGATTCATCTCCTGCTGCTGTCCCAGTGAGGCCCCCCGCAATCCTTTCGCATCTGGGCAGTTCCAAACTAGAATTCTTGCCTGCCCTGCCTCCCATGGAATGCCCTTACCCTACTGCCAATGTGATCTTTCTGAAACAGCATACCTGATATTGTCATTCCCAGGAGCAGCTTCCCACCTCCCTCAGGATTTAAACTTTAAACTCTACAGCTCTCCACACTCACCTCAACAATGAGCTCCTCTCATCATTTCTTCTCCTTTGTCCCAGTCACAGGCCACTTTTGGGCCATGCCAAACCACTTTAGTTTCTGAAGCTTCTGCCCTTGACCTGTTGCTCCCTTGACTGGGGCCTAAGATGACTGCAGTCATGCAGGGCCAGGGCAAGTGGCTCCTGGCTGCATTTCCTCCTCTGTATCACGGGACTAGCATTTGGCAGAGAGCAAAGCAGAAGATGACATCTGGCACACACAGGGAGTGAACAAGTGTTCATTCCTCACCTTGAAGGGTAAACCTTCTCAGAACTTTCCGTGCTCCCTCTGGTTCTTATTTCTGTTTTTGTTTTTTGTTTTTTTCCAGAAAAAATCAAATCAGACTGTAGGTAAAATAGGGTGTCCAGAGAAGGGGACTGTTTTCTAAATTATGAAAACAAGTAACAACAGAGGGACATCTGTGTCAATATGGCTCAGCATATAAAGAACCCAATTTTTGCTGTATTGCTTTTAAACTACTCTATAGACAACATACAAATATATATTTAGAGAGCTAACTGAAAACAGTTTATTAGAGCATTTATTGAAATGTCATGGTGGCTCACACCTGTAATCCCAGTACTTTGGGATACCAAGGCAGATGGATCAGGAATTCGAGACCAGCCTAGCCAACATGGTGAAACACCATCTCTACTAAAAATAGAAAAATTAGCTGGGCATGGTGGTGCAGGCCTATAATCCAGCTACTTGAGAGGCTGAGGCAGGAGAATCACTTGAACCCAGGAGGTGGAGGTTGCAGTGAGCCAAGATCATGCTATTGCATTGCAGCCTGGGTGACAGAGCAAGACTCTCGTCTCAAAAAAAAAAAAACATTTATTGAAATGTAATTCACATACCATACTATTTGCGCACTTAAAATTTAAATTATTGAATTTTAATTTAAATCAATTTAAATAAATTTGCAAGGCTGATTTATTAGCTATACATCTCAAGAGTCTGTAGGGTATTTCCAAAAATGATCTTATACTGGGACATAATGTGTTGAACTTCTAAACTTCATAGGCTATATTTTCTAACCACAACACAACAAAATAGAATAACTAATGGTTAAATTTAAAATATCAGCTACAACAAATGAGAAAATATTCTGAATAATTTGGGAATCAACAAAGAAATAAAACCAAAAATGACATTAGTTAGAAAATAACAAAAATGAGAAGCTTATCTGTCAAAACCTATAGAATGAAGCCAATTATATAGTTAAAGGTTTATGTTTTAAATGCCTTAATTACTTTTAAAAGGGAAGAAAAAAAACATGGGAAAAGCAAAATGATAATCCAGTGTGGCTCTTGGAAATAACCAAGAAAATAGGTGAAGTTCTAGCCAAACTAGTTAAGATATAAAGACACAAAAATATACAAATTTACAGCAGAAAATAGAAGTACTGCACACATATGTACTAAATCAAAAGCTTTAAAATAGTTTTAATGGAATGTTTTAAATTAAATTGATGTAAGAAGTAAAAAAACAAAAAAAAAAAACAAAAGAGGCCAATAACATGGAAGTAATTTTAGTAATTTTTAAATTATTATTTAATTTCTTCAAAAGTTGGCTCCTGACCCAGATGGACAGGTGAATTCTTTAGCCCTTTAAGGAATTTTTCCATGTTACATAAAACTTTTCAGAGTCTTGAAAAAGATGGAAAACTTCCAGATCATTTTGTCAAACTCACAAAACTCTGACATCAACCTGACAAAGATAGCACTAAAAGGGGGAAGAAAACTAAATCAATTCCCAGTTAATGTAAGTGGTGCCTATTTTAAATTTTATTTAAAATTGTTTCTCTCCTTTATTAATATTAGTTTATGCTGGTCTAAGTCAATATCTCAGACTAAGGACTTTTTTGGTGATGGGTCTAGAGAAAGACTGGCTGAGGAGGTGACTCCTATCTGTTGAGAACACCTGTATTTTGGTAAGTCCTTAACTTGTGTGAGACTAACAAATATGCAGAAATATAACTGTTTCAGGGTGGAGATAGGAAAACTAGATTTGCTCACGTAGTATGCTTTTCTTAGAAATCTGAAATATTCTTACCTGAAAGTAATAGGGGAGAAAGAAAACTATACAGAAGGCTTCCTTGCCTTCAGTGTCATACCCCAGTTTTTAAAAGCTCTCTTGTTTTCAGGAAACTTTAGATCCAATTGATGAGGTCGCTGCACTCATCGCAGCCACCATTCATGATGTGGATCACCCTGGGAGAACCAACTCCTTCCTGTGTAATGCTGGAAGTGAGCTGGCCATTTTGTACAATGACACTGCTGTGCTGGAGAGCCACCATGCGGCCTTGGCCTTCCAGCTGACCACTGGAGATGATAAATGCAATATATTTAAAAACATGGAGAGGTAAGAACAATGATTGGGAAGTGTGTTGATCCCTCTCTTTCTTTTTTAAACAGCTATATTGAGATATAATTCACATCTTATACAGTTCACCCATTTAAAGTGCACAAAGTATACAGTGGGCCGGACATAGTGGCTCATGCCTATAATCCCAGCACTTTGGGAGGCTGAGACAGGAGAAATCACTTGAGCCCAGGAGTTTGAGACCAGCCTGGGCAACGTAGGGAGACCCTGTCTCTACAAAAGGAAAAAAAAAATTAGCCAGGCTCGGTGGTTGTGTCTGTAGTCCCAGCTACTCGGGAGGCTAAGGTGGGAGGATTGCTTGAGCCCAGGAGGCTGAGGCTGCGGCTGCAGTGAACCGTGATCACACCACTGCACTCCAGCTTGAGCAACAGAGCCTTCCCTGATCTCTCATGCTAAGTTAAACCCTCTAATTATTCAATCCCAGATTTCTTCATAGCACGTATCACATTTCTTATTTAATAATTACTTTTTAATTATTTGCGTAATGTCTGATTAGATTCTTAAGCTCTGTAAGGTCACAAGGGTCATATGTCACTGTGCCCTCGGTGCCCTCAGTGCCACAGTGCTTGGTACATACTAGAGCGAGACCCTGTCTCAAAATAATAATAACATGTACAGTGGTTTTTAGTATATTCATAGTGGTTTTAGTATATTCATAGAGTTGTGCAACTCATAGTATATTCAATTTTAGAATATTACCCCTTCGATAGAACCTCAAATTTATGAGCAGTTCCTTTCCATTCCCCCTCAACTCCCCTAGTCCTAGACAACTACTGTGATCTACTTTCTGTCTCTATAGATTTGCCATTTCTGGACATTTTATGTAAATGGAATCATACACAATATGTGATCTTTTGTAACTAGCTTTTTTCACTTAGCACAATGTTTTTAAGATTCAGCCGCTTTGTGTCTGGATGTTTCAAGGTGAAGTATAATGCTGATATCTTGAGCTCTTAGAGACTCAAAGAAGCAGTCATCTATCTCTCTCCCTGAAGCACTCCACTCTGCCCTCCTGTGCTCAGCATACATCTCCTTGGCATTGTCTCTGTTTACATGTCACTTCCTTGGGGAAGCCTTCCCTGATCTCTCATGCTAAGTTTAACCCTCTAATTATTCAATCCCAGATTTCTTCGTAGCACGTATCACATTTCTTATTTAATAATTATTTTTAATGATTTGTGTAATGTCTGATTAGATTCTTAAGCTCTGTAAGGTCACAAGGGTCATATGTCACTGTGTCCTCAGTGCCACAGTGCTTGGTACATACTAGGAACTTAGTGAATATCAGTTGAAGAAAGAAAAAACATTGTGTCATGAAGAATACTTATTAATATGGATTTTTAAAGAAGAGGATTTTTGATTTTGTAAAACTCCTTTCTGCCATGTTCTAGGATTTCAGAGGTGGAGTTAAAGTAGTTTCTATTCATATTTGCTTATAGTTACATCAGTTATCAATGGAAAACTACATGAGACCCTATTAACTTTCCAGAGAAAGTTTTCTACTCAACTGCAGAAAAGGGATTGAATAGAGACTTTGTTTCATATTCATACCCCTTCAAATTTTGAATTACATGGATTACCCCTTCAAGAAATGAATTTTTTAAAGTACTAAAATAAAAGCAAGGGTTAGAGGTGGAGGTATCAAGTACTCCCTATGATTTCGCAGCTTTCAGAAGATCGGTCCTCACATTCTATGGGCACTAAAATGGTTGGGCCTCAAGACACCTCCATGTGGGGTATATTCTTTCTAACCACAGATTTCTATCTTCATTGACAAGATAAACACTGCAACTATAAGTTTTGCCTATAGCTTTTGGTTTTAACTTCTTTTGAGGTTCTCCTTGCTAACGATCTAGGCACTAACCCCTAACTTCCATGTCTTTTTAAAATGTGCCTTGTGGCTTTCAGTGGCATTAGATTTATAGCTGCAGAGGACACATACCTGGATAACAGATTGTTTTCAGGAGTACCTGTCTGGTCTGGATCAGTAATTTGTAGCAGCCTCTAATTTGTCATCGAAAACAGGAATGATTATCGGACACTGCGCCAGGGGATTATCGACATGGTCTTAGCCACAGAAATGACAAAGCACTTTGAGCATGTCAACAAATTTGTCAACAGCATCAACAAACCCTTGGCAACACTAGAAGAAAATGGGGTAAGGGAAACTTATTGCAAAGAGAACCTGTGTTTGGGGTCCTTGTACTGTTGTGTTATGGAGACACATGGGCTATGATATCAGCCACAGAAGGGTTCCCTCAGTGAGTCTATTAGACTCTTACAGGGACAGAACTAATGGGATACACACACACACACACACACACACACACACACACACACACACACACACAAAGGGGAGTTTATTAAGTAATAACTTACACGATCACAAGGTCCCACAATAGGCTGTCTGCAAGCTGAGGAGCAAGGAGAGCCAGTCTGAGTCCCAAAACTGGAGAACTTGGAGTCTGATGTTCAAGGGCAGAGAGCATCCAGCATGGGAGAAATGTAGGCTGGGAGGCTAGGTCCATCTCTCCTTTTCATGTTTTTCTGCCTGCTTTATATTTGATGGCAATTGATTTGATTGTGCCCACCAGATTAAGGGTGGATCTGCCTTCCCCAGCCCACTGACTCAAATGTTAATCTCTTTTGGCAACACTCTCACAGAAACACCCAGGATCAATACTTTGTATTCTTCAATCCAATCAAGTTGACACTCAGTATTAACCATCACAGTGGGCTCACTGAATTTAGTTTTTATTGGTTAAAAAATTATTTAAAGTGCAAAAACTTGGCAGGAAAAAAATTAGCACATCCAACTAGATGGGAAAACTCGAAAGGAAGGTCAGATTTTAGATAAGCTAACTTTAGACAGACTATTCCTGCACCCTTCCTCACTAATATCCCCCTCCCTTCTTCTCCATTCTGTGATCAGTTGGAGCCCTTGATATATCTTTCTAGCCACTCCCACTGGGCACATATCATGGTAGCAGCAGCTATCCTCTCTTGGTCCTCACTTAGAGGAGCATGTGGATTGAGAAAGACACTGTATTTGTGTCACAAGGGTGACATTATTGTTGCCCCTGTTTCTACATTTGAGGCATGGAGTCCACAACAACTGCTGGGCAAGGATAACATTAACCCTCTCACCAGGCAGGAGTCTCCAGCTGAGGAAGCATACAGGCCCAAGTTCCCATCATTTGCTTATCTGTAGAATGGGGATAAGAAGTCTCAAGGCATAGGACTGATGAGCATGGTACATGGTAGGCACTTAAGAACTGGTGCCTATTATACTAGATTCATTGTGTCATCAGCAACTTAAAGAATATGTTCTTTCATGAACCTCTTCCTTTGAGGCCCACATTTACTGAACATGTTGGCAGCAGCTCACAGTCTTCTCTCCCACCCTCCTCCCCAGCTCCTATCACCATCCTGAGATATTTGCCACACACAGGGATGACTTATCCTCGCAGGCTAGGATCATAATTCCTTGACTTCTAACTCCATTTTACTTCTGCAATTCATTTGTTTGGCCATGGCCTTTGTCTGCCCCCTGGTTTTCTAGCATATTACCCCATGACACTTACTTTGGTTTAACCTGATGTTGAGAACTGTTTCTTCACCCTTTCCTGTTCTCTCAATTTGTCAGCCTGCCCCTGACTTCACTCTCTTTCCAAAGACTTTTAACAGAGGTGCCTGTACCAGCCTGTTTTATTGGCTCCTGCCCTGCCATTCTGGATAGGGCTCATTGTCACCTGGCCACCACTCCTGGCTGACCTCATGCCACAGAAGGAAACCATACACCCAGCAGACTTGGTTTCCTCTGTCTAGTCTGGACAGCCCCTAGAGCTGAGTTCTCTGCTCCACTTAACATTATGGTTCTCATCTCTGTTGTCGGTACATGGGGTTACTTCTGAGAGACTGAAAATCAATATCCAGTGGGTCAGAGCAGGAGAAAGGAAGATGAAAGAGAATAGTTTCCAGGCTGGCAGTATGAAACTATAGTCACACTGCAGGTATTAACGGATCTGAAGAAAGAAGGGTCAGCACAGAGCTGGTCACAGTGGAAACCTGGAGTGAGGAGAGCTACTGAAGTGTCACCGGTGTAGTATTCATTTTGGCACTCTCCAGGAAGTGTGGGAAGCCTAGAGTCAGGATGCCACCCGTCCATCTTGATGGCAGTCTGTTCCCTCTGAGCTGGGACCATCAGGGCTTCTTAGGCTACTGCTATTGCATATTGAAATATATGACTAACTCCTTTGGAATGTTGCTTGATGGGCACAGAATCAGACTGAGGAGACCTGCTTGCCTTTAGTCTTTTTCATTGCTCTCTGCCCCAATACCCTCTAACCTGAATTCTCTTCAGAGAGCCTACAAATAGTGGTTCTATTACATCATAAATTGATCCATATCCAGTGGGGATCCTTGGATGCAGACAGCATGTGGTACTGTGAGTGGAAGGCATGCTGGGACTAAAGGCAGAACTGAAGTTCTTATCCTGGCTCGGCTGGTTGCTTTGGACAAGTCACTTCACCTCCCTGAGTCTCAGTGTCCTCATTTGTAAAATGTAATAAATAATACTTTTCATGCTTACCATTAGATCTTCTTGTGAGTGCAGATCAACAGAGAATGACTGTTAAGTCCTTTATCCATCAAATATGTTAGGTGTTATCTTGGGAATCTGCCCTATCACAGGACTGGGTTGAGAAGTACGGAGGCTGTTGGGCTGCAAGAGCCCATTTGTTGTGAGGGCAGAGAAATTTATTTTTTTCAGCTCATACTCTTTTTTAATAAATATAATAAAAGACAAAACCAGTCTTTGAGTTCTTACCAAGGGGGAGAGAGAGAGTGGAACAGAAAAAAAGGCAACTGTGAGAAAGATTTAGTGAGAGGAAGAGAAGAAAGAGGCAAGGAAAAGGGGAAGGGCAGATATACCAACCCCTAGTGCTACCCTCCACTTCTAGGTCCTGTTGCAATCTCACTGAGCCTCGGTTTTCTCCTGGGTAAAATGAGAGGCCAAGCTCAATGCTCACAGTATCCTTGGCACTGTTTTGTGAGATCCTTATAGATCCTGACTAGTGCTCTTTTTATGCTTACAGTGGGACAGACCAGTAAGAGAGGGCTTGGCACCAAGGGATCCATTTTGATTGCTTTGAATTCCACTCATGTTTCAGGAAACTGATAAAAACCAGGAAGTGATAAACACTATGCTTAGGACTCCAGAGAACCGGACCCTAATCAAACGAATGCTGATTAAATGTGCTGATGTGTCCAATCCCTGCCGACCCCTGCAGTACTGCATCGAGTGGGCTGCACGCATTTCGGAAGAATATTTTTCTCAGGTAAGTTGCTGCCTCTTTTAAGTTTCTAGAGAGAGAGAGAGTTAAAACCCATAAAATCATACGAGATAATGGACTTAACACTAGGAAATAGGGTTCTAAAAAAATTCTGTCCTTGTTTTGCAAGGTAACAAATGGTAACTGGTAACAAATTTTTTTTTTCTTAAGAATATTTTATTTTCCCTTTATTCTTGCAGGATATTTTTGTTAGATATAGCATCCTGGGTTGATGATTTTTTTCCTGAAAGTACTTTTAAGGAGTCATCTGGTCTTCATATTCTTTCTGAGTAGAAAAAACCTCTCTTGGGGCAGAAAAAAATATTAGGAAATATACTGGCTAAGATTTTTCCAGATTTGGTGGAGGGCATATGCACATGCATATGCATACAGATTCAAGAAGCCCAGTGAACCTTAGCCCATGTCAGATGTGTCATAGTCAAGCAGCTAACAGGCTAAAGATAAATCTTGCAATCAGCCAGAGGAAAAGCGACACATTACTTATAAGAAAACAGTGATTCTCATGTCCTCTGACTTCCCATCAAAAACTATGAAGGCCAGAAGACACGGGAACATCTTTAAAGTGCTGTTAGCTTTGGGAGGATCACTTGAGCCCAGGAGTCTTAAGAGCAGCCTGGGCAACATGGTGAGACCTTGTCTCTACAAAAAAATTAAAAGTTAGCCGGGCATAGTGATGCACTCCTGTAGTCCCAAGCTACTTGGGAGGCTGAGGCAGGAGGATCGCTTGAAGCCCAGGAGGTTGAGGCTGCAGTGAGCCATGATCATGTCACTGCACTCCAACCTGAGCGACAAAGTGAGACCCTGTCTCAAAGAAAACATACAGCTAACATTATATTTAATGGCATGAGATATTGAATACATTCTTAAGATTGGAAACAAGGTAAGGGTGCCCATTCTTACCTCTTCTGTTCAACCTTGTATTGGTGTTCCTCATCATTGCAATAGACAAAGGAGAGAGAGGTTTAAAGAACAAAAAGTAAGACATACATTTGCTTCTGTTTGCAGATGACATGATTTTATGCAGAAAATTCTAAGGAATATACAAACAATTATTAGCACTAATAAGTGGATTTGATTTACCAATGTCATAGGACACAGCTCAATATACAAAAGTGAGTTGTATTTTATGTACTAGCAACCAACAATTGGAAAATGAAACCAAAAGCCCAGTCCCATTTACAGTAGGAAATAAAATTTAAAAATTAAAATTAGGAAAAAATTTAATAAGAGATGACCAGAACTTTACAGTGAAAACCATAAAACATTGCTGAAAATTTTAATGAACACTTGAATAAATGGTGAGGCATATCATGTTCACATACTGGAAGGCTCAGTGTTAACATTCACTTCTACCCAAATTGGTGTTTCAATTCAAAAATTTCAGCAGGTTTTTTTTCTGTGGAAGTCTACAGACTGTTTCTAAATTATATATGAAAATGAGAAGGACCTTGAATAAGCAAAGCAAACTTTAAAAAGTTGGAAGATATGCCCTGTTTGGCTTCAAAACTTAAAATAATCAAGAAAGTGTGGTGCTGGCATAAAGATAACAAGTACAACCATGGGACAGAATAGAAATCCAAGAAACAGATCACATTTATATGATCAGTGGCTAATGTGAAATTTTTGCAGTAAGTGGTGTTAGGATAATTGGATATTCCTATGCAAAAAAAAAAAAAAAAAAAAAGAACCACAACTCCTATCTCATACCATAGAGAAATTCATAGACCTACATACAACAGCTAAAACCATAAAGCTTTTAGAGAGAAACATACCAGAATATCCTCAATGACTTGAAAGTGGACAAAGATTTCTTAGATGCAGAAAGCAACAACCAGCCAGGTGCAGTGGCTTATACATGTCATCTCAGCACTTTGGGAGGCCAAGGTGGGAGGATTACTTGAGTCCAGGAGTTCAAGACCAGCCTCAGCAAGATAATGAGACCGCATCACTAGAAAAAAAAATTTTTTTAATTAGTTGCCTGTGGTGGTGGCACGTGCCTGTGGTCCCAGTTGCAGGAGGATTGCTTGAGCCTCAGAGGTTGAGGCTGCAGTGAGCCATGATTGTACACTGCACTCCAACCTGGGTGACAGAGCAAGACTGTGTCTTAATAAAAAGAAAAGAGCAACAACCATAAGAAGAAAATTTGATAAATTAGACTTCTTCAAAATTTACAAAGTTTGCTCATTCAAAACACAGCTAAGAAAATGAGCAGGCAAGCCATACTGGAGGAAAATATTTACAAATTATATTTGAAAGGACTGTATCCATAGATATATAAAGAACTATAACTCAGTAGTAAAAGATAAACCACCCAATTTATTATAGGCAAGTATTTGTCCAGACACTTCCCCAAAGAAGCTATTATGAAAAGCCAATAAGCACATGAAAAAAGTGCTGAACATCATTAGTCATCTGGGAAATTCAAATTAAAACCACAGTGAAATACCACTACACACCCAATGGGATGGCTAAAAATGGGAAAGGCTGACAACACCAAATGT
Organism: Homo sapiens; assembly: GCF_000001405.40. NCBI lineage: Eukaryota > Metazoa > Chordata > Mammalia > Primates > Hominidae > Homo > Homo sapiens. Next base: position 85,128,891 of record NC_000015.10, read on the forward strand.
TGAAGATGTGGAGCAACTAGAATGCATGCATTTGTGATAGATGTGTAGAATGCTACAGTCACTTTGGGAAGCAGTTTAGCAGTTTCTTTTTTCTTCCTTTTTTATGGTAAAATTTACCATTTTAGATCTGGGTTTTCTTCCCTTCATTCTCTTCATATGGTATATCACACTGATCTTCATGTGCGGAACCAATCTTGCATTTCAGAAATAGATTCCACATAGTCATTGTGTATAATCCTTTAATATGCTGCTGAGTTTGGATTGCTAGTATTTTATTAAGGATTTGTGCATCAGTATTTACAGGGGATATTGGCCTGCAATTTTCTTGTAGTGTCTTTGTCTGGCTTTATTAGGATAATGCTGGCCTCATGGAATGAGTTAGGAAGTACTTCCTTCCTTTTCAGTTTTTCTGGAAGAGTTTGAGAAGGATTGATATTAATTCTTCTCAAAATGTTTGGTAGAATTTAACCAGTGAAACCATCCTTTCTTGGGAGGTTTTTGATTACTGATTCAATCTCCTTGCTAGTCATTGGTCTATTCAGATTCTGTTTCTTTATGATTCAGTCCTGGTAGGTTGCATGTTTCTAGGAGTTTATCCATTGTGTTGGCATTCAGTTGTTCATGGTACTCTCTTATAATCCTTTTTATTTCTATGAAACCTGGAGTAATGTTCCCACTTTCATTCTGATTTTGGTAATTTGGGTCTTGTCTTTTTTTCTTAGTCCATCTAGCCAAAGATTTGTCAATCTTGTTGATCTTTTCAAAAAATTATCTTTTGGTTTTGTTTTTTTCTGTTCTCTATATACCTCTGTTCTTTATTATTTCCTTCCTTTTGCTAGCGTTAGGTTTAGTTTATTCTTTCTGTAGCTCCATAACATGTTAAGTTAGGTTGTTGATTTAAAATCTTGTAGGCATTTACAGCTGTTAATTTCCCCCTTATCACTGTTTTTGCTGCATCTAATAACTTTTGGCATAGTGTGCTTCATTTTCATTTGTCTCAAAGTATTTTCTAATTTCCCTTATGATTTCTTCTTTGACCCCTTGGTTGTTTAAGCGTATATTAGTCCATTTGCATTGCTATAAAAGAATACCTGAGGCTGGGTAATTTATAAAGAAAAGTTTATTTTGGCTCATGGTTCTGCAGGCTGTGCAAGCATAGAACTAACATCTGCTCAGCTTCCGGTGAGGGCTCAGGAAGCTTATGATCAGAGCAAAGGAAGGGGGAAGCAGATGTATCACATGGCAGGAGAGCAGGGGGAATTGCCACACTTTTAACCAGATTACCTGTAAACTCAGAGCAAGATCTCTCATTACCATGGGGAGGCCACTAAGCCATTCACGAAGGATCTGCCCCCATGACCCAAACACATCCCACCAGACCCCACCTCCAGCACTGGGGATTATTTTTCAACATGTGATTTGGAGGGGACAGACATTCAAACCATATCAAAGCATATGCTATTTAATTTCCAGATACTTGTGAGTTTCCCGGTTTTCCTTCCATTACTGAGTTTTGGTTCATTTCACTGTTATTAGAAAAGGTACTTTGTATGACCTTACCTTTTAAAATATATACTGTTTGTTTTGTGGCCTATCATATGTTGTATCCTGGAGAATGTTCCATTTGCACTTGAGAAAAAAATGTATACTCTACTGTTGTTGGGTGGATGTTCTATACATTCTGTTAGGTCCAGTTGGCCTAGAGCATTGTTCAAACTCTATTGTCTCATTGTTCTATTCATTATAAAAATGTAGTATTGAAGTCTCCAGCCATTATTTTAGAAGTATCTGTTTCTTCCTTCAGTTCTATAAATGTTTGCTTCATATATTTTGGAACTCTGGTATTTGATGCTTATATGCTTATAATCATTATATCTTCCTGATGAATTGACCCTTTTATTAATGTCCTTCCAGGCTGGAGTGCAGTGGCACAATCTTGGCTCACTGCAACCTCTGCCTCCCAGGTTCAAGCAATTCTCCTGCCTCAGCCTCCTGAGTAGCTGGGATTATAGGCACGTACCACCATGCCTGGCTAATTTTTGTGTTTTTAGTAGAGACGGGGTTTCATGTTGGTCAGGCTGGTCTCTAACTCCTGACCTCAGGTGATCCGCTCACCTCAACCTCCCAAAGTGCTGAGATTACAGGCCTGAGCCACCGCGCCTGGCCTGTAACAGTTTTTGACATAAAGTTTATTTTGTCTTTTAGGATACCCACCCCAGCTCTCTCTTGGATATTATTTTCATGAGATATCTTTTTCCATCCTTTCATTTTCAACATATGTATGTCTTGAGAGCTAAAGTGATTTTCTTGTAGATAGAATGTAGTTGGATCATGTTTTCTTATCCATTCTGACAGTCTGTGGCTTTTGAGTTGAATCTATTTACACTTAAAATAATTACTGATAGGGAAAGACTTTTGCCACTTTGTTAGTTTCCTGTATGTCTTACAGCTTTTTTGTCCCTCTTCCTCCATTACTGCCTCCTGTTGTGCTTATTTGATATTTTGTAATGGCACATTTTGATTCCCTTTTTCTATAGATAGTTGCATTGTGGATACCATAGAGATTGCATAGGACAACCTAAAGTTACAACAGTTGGTTTTGATGTCAACTTAACATTAATTGCATACATGAACTCTTATATAGCTCTACCACCCCACTCCATTTTGTAAATGTCACAAGTAATATCTTTATACATTATATGTCCATTAACATTTAAAATTATTTTTATGCATTTTTAAAAGTAAAGTTACAAAACAAAATTGTAATAATGCTGCTTTTTATATTTTCCCATGTATTTACCATTATCAGAGATCTTTATATCAAGTTACTGTCTAGCTTCCTTTTATTTCAACCTAAAGGATTTCCTTTAGCATTTTTTGTAGGTCAGGTCTAATGGTAATGAATTCCCTTGGCTTATGTTTATCTAGGAATGTCTTAATTCCTCTTTTTTGCAGGACAGTTTGCCTGAATCAGAATTTTCAGTTGACAGTTTTTTATCTTTTAGCACTTCATATATATAATTTCACTGCCTTCTGGCCTTCAAGGTTTCTGCTGAGAAATGAGCAGATCATCTTATTATCTCCTATATGTGATGAGTCTTTTCTTTTGCTGCTTTCGAGATCCTCTGTCTTTTGACTGTTTGGTTATAGTGTGTCTCAGATAGATCTCTTTGGGTTTATCCTACTTGGAGTTTATTTAGCTTCTTGGATTTGTAGATTCATATCTTTCCCCAGATTATGGCATTTTTTGGCCAAGATTTTTTCAAATATGGGGTCTCACTATGTTGCCCAAGCTGGTCTTGAACTCCTGGGTTCAAGAAACCCTCCTGCCTTAGCCTCTCAAGTAGCTGAGGTTACAAATACTGTGCCTGTTGGCTATTATTTCTTCAAATAATCTCTGTCCTTCTCTTCTCCTCTTCTTTTTGCTGAACTCATAAGATGTGTATTGGTCCATTTGATGGTTTCCCATAAATTCATTAGGTTCTATTCACTTTTCTTCATTCTTTTTTCTTTCTTCTGTCTGCCCATATCTGATACTGAACCCCTCTGGTGAAGTTTAATTTGTTTTTTGTATTTTTCAGCCTTCAAATTTGAGATGGAGTTTTTGCTCTGTCGCCCAAGCTGGAGTGCAATGGTGCCATCTTGGCTCACTGCAACCTCTGCCTCTTGGGTTTAAGTGATTCTCCTGCCTCAGCCTCCCAAGTAGCTGGGATTACAGGTGCCCGCCACCATGCCCAGCTAATTTTTGTATTTTTAGTAGAGATGAGGTTTCGCCAGGCTGGTCTCAAACTCTTGACCTCAGGTGATCCACCCACCTCAGCTTCCCAAAATGCTAGGATTACAGGTGTGAACCACCGCACCTGGCTTGTTAGGTTACTTTTCATAATTTCTCTCTTTGCTGATATTCTCACTGTGGTGTTCACCTGTCATTTCCTATAGTTCCTGGTCTGTGTGTGTGTGTGTGTGTGTGTTTTTAGGTCTTTGAGCATATTTAAGACAGTTGTTTTCAAGTCTTTGTCCAGTGCCTGTACATCTTTAGGGACAGTTTCTTTTCTTCCTTTGAGTGTACCATATTTTCTAGTTTCTTTGTATGCCTTGTGATTTTTGTTGAAAATTAGGCATTTTAAAAAACAGCCACCTCTCCTAGTCTTTGAAAACTGTCTCTCAGCCTTACAATTAACCCATCATGAAAGTTTAAAGTTTTCTCAAACATTTTCTGAGCATGTCTTGTCTGGGTCTGCATATACATACTCTTCTTAATTCCCCTATATACACAGCTGCTTTCAGATGTCTTAATTTCCTGAAGTGTCTTGTCTGAGGTTATCCTCAGGGCCTTAGATGATCTGTTGTTGGTCTCCGCTCATAATCTCTTGTCTTCAGGCATCCATATTGGTCATCCCCCTGCAGCTTTCCTGAGCAGTAGTCATTGCTTTTCTACCTGGGAGCTAAGTGAAACAGAGACCAATCCTTCAGGCAGCCCACAGACTTGTCAGAATGTTGCAAATAAGGTCTGCTCTGCTCCCTCCGGTTCAAGGGACACAGCTGGAAACTGGGCCGCTGCCTCCTCCAGACCAAGATTGTACCACACTGGGGAAGTGTGGTGCAAGGTTGAGTGAAAATACCCTTAAGTTTCCTGCTGTTTTGAATGTGGCTTTTCTTGAGTGGGCATTCACTTGGTTGCTGTAGACTTTTGACTGTTTTCCAGAGTTCCTGTAAGGTTATTTTAGCCAGTCTCTCATTTCATGGAGAAATGAGGACTTGGAGCTTCCTAGTCCCCCATATTACTGATGTTACTCCGGTGCTCAGGCTTTGATTTTAAAGTCATTAAGACATTAAGATACAGTTGCTTCTTGTATTCAGTGGGGTTAGGTTTGCAAGTTCACCCCTTATAGCCACCCTGTCTCTTGAATAGCATGGATACTAAGAGTGCCAGGGCCTGAAGCAAGGTGAAGAGGCATCTCTGGTTTGTCTCTGGCTGGGGCTGCTTGACTTCATGGGGAGTGGGGCTTGAGTACCACTTGCCTGGCTCTGTGCCAGGTGTTGTACAGTCTTTTATTTTCGCTTGGGGCACAGCGGTGAAATGTGAAACTTGTAGACCCTGCCTTGCAGGTGGGGTCACAGAAAGGAAGCATCTACAGGTGTGGAGTTCTCACTGGTGACTTAGATGAGGGCATGGGCCACAGTTTGCTGGTCTCCAGGAGGGAACGGGGGCCCCTGGACGTTCCATGCACTTGTCACATTGGGCCAAAGAGAAGAAATCTAAGCACGAGGGTCTTCACTGACCTTCAGCCAGCCAGCTGCTTACATGTGAATAGGGAGGGCAGGCCCTGAGAGCAGAAAGACAGAACAGCCTCTGGATGACTGAGTGGCTGAGCTAACGGAGCCTTTGCCATGGCTGCCCAGAGAGAGCTGGCTTAGGGTCTAGCGTGACCAAGGGAGGGCACATCAGGAGAGCGCCCCGCCCAGGGCACTGCTGTTTGAGCTGGACAGGCCCATGGGGTGTGAACCCAAGGCCCTCCCTGCGCCCCCACCCCTTCCTCTCTATACCATGGCAGAGACTCGTGTAGGGCTGACTGCTTTTCTTAGACAGCAGTGGGGCTGCCAACAGCAGGGCCTTCACCACAGCCAGCGGATGCTGGGCCAGCGTTCCCCACTCCTCTTACCAAAGCACGTGAATCCCATATGCTGAACCACCAGAACAGCAGGAACTCTTCTGACTTTTGCTCAGTCCCACAGTCTAGCACTGTTCACCTGACTTTCTTGGCACTTGTCCCCAGCACCGTCAACACTTACCTAGCATACACGCACCTCTGGGCACTGTGCTAGGTATGGTGCCATCCTAGGAAAACCTCCAGAGGTTCGCCTGCTTCTCTCAAGTAGAGAGCCCATATGGAGAGCCGGAGTGAGTTGTTGTGCACAGGGCAAGGTGCAGAAATACTTGGTAGAGCCAGGCCTCTGGGTGTCACTCTGGGAGAGCCTGAGGTGCTGGGCCAGGTGTAGTAAGGAAGATGGGAGAAGGGTGACTGAGTGCACAGAAAAAAGGCAATGGAGTCAGCGACTTTAGGGAGCTCCACGCAAGTGCCGGAGCTGGTGCCGTAGAGCTGCGGTGGGGGGAGAGAGATGCTGGGACGAGAGAACTTTCTGACCTGGCATCCCCTGGAGGGCCTGTGAGTGCAAGCATGGGAACGTTCTGGGCGAGGTGCTGCAGCCATGGTGAGGCCCTGTGGAGCAAGGGCTAAGGGGAGGAGCTGCGAGTGAGTTCTGCCAGCTACCAGAGCCTGGCTGTGATGGGGTGAGCTCTGCTGGCCATTTGGGAGCTGGAAGTTCGGCTGTGAGTGTAGAAGACACGTCTTGTGAGTGGCCAACAGTGGGACGAGACTTCAGTGGTTAGCAAGTGGTTAGCCTTTCTTCTGTGCACTCAGCTACCCTTCTCCCTTACCACACCTGGCCCAACACCTCCTCAGGCCCTCCCAGAGTGACCCCCAGAGGGCTGGCTCTACCCCCTCCAGCCCTGGCACTGGGGAGAAAGGCTAGTGTTCAATACAACAGCCACCATCCCTTCACCCGGCCCCACACATGTACTAGGGTCCCATCTAGAAGAGCTGCTCCCCCCAGCCCACTCCTACCTCACTCCATCTGCGCTCACCCTGTTCTCATCCTGCCCCACTGTTTGACTTGACTCCCAGCACAGGCGCCCTGGCACAGCAGGGATCTTGCAGCGATTCCGGTTGCACATCCACAGGGGCTTCTAAAGAATGCACTCAGGACTTCTGGCCTCATTCCCACCCCATGGACCTTACCTCACCCTTTTCTCCAGCACCATTGGGCCAAAATGAGACCTTATCAAAGAAAGAACAGGACGCTTGCCTTTTTCCTCAGGTTCTTAATTATGTTTTTAGTTTTTTGCGAGTCTCTCTGAAATCCTGAAGATGTGGAAGAGTTTGACTAAAGTACATAAATACTCAGAGCTCTTTTTTTTTTTAAACATCCAGGATCTCAAGGGTGTTCAGAACCTTTTCAAAAAAATAATTTAGCCATAGATGAGAAGCAGCCACTAGGCCCTTCCTTGTAAAGTGGCCCCTGTGTGGGGATGCTTCAAGCCAGGTGGAAGGACGGCTGGACTGTGATAGGAGTGAGAAAAGAACAGATCTTTTTCTTTGAGGGATGTGAGCCCCCTTAGTTGTCAGACCCAGAGAGGCATTGAAATGTGACAGCAGTTACGTCTCACTCCCCACCCTGACCTAAGTAATCGCCTGCTCTGTGGACTCTAGGCCAGTAGCCTGTAAACTCTGTATATTAATTTTGCCTCAGTTTCTTTAGGTCAATACGAACAACAGAGCGGTGGCTGACTACACATAATGTTTGGGATCTTACCTGAAGAGCTTCTGCAAGGAGGCTTCCAGATGTTTAAAGTTTGGCTTGAGTTGGGGTGTCCTCAGACCCCACTGACATGGAGTAGTCCTCATTCTGAGAACTTGGTATCTGTTATGAGACATGGTTTGGCTGCGTGAGGTGGTGATTGGCTTCTCACCATGACAAGCCACCTTAGGCTGCCAGGAGAAGCTCTTCCTGGGGGAGGGGCTGCCCCTAGGTGGAGTGGAACCAGATGTTGGGGTCTCCTGATCACATTTTCTGCTTTACAGACTGATGAAGAGAAGCAGCAGGGCTTACCTGTGGTGATGCCAGTGTTTGACAGAAATACCTGCAGCATCCCCAAATCCCAAATCTCTTTCATTGATTACTTCATCACAGACATGTTTGATGCTTGGGATGGTAAGAAATCTTCCTTAAAATAGCATATTTTCCTCTAAATAATGGGGAACCGCGTATGAAAGAGCAGAGTGCATTTGACTGTAGAATATGATTTGGGGCCTGGGCTTTCAAGAACAAGAGCGAAGTGAACCATCACCGAGGGCCCCTGAGGGCTAGGTGTTCTTTCTTAACACTCCCCGCAGGCATAGGTGTCTTTATGCCTGTTTTATAGATGACGGGATTGAACTTGGGGCCCCACAGCTTGTAGTAGAGCAGCTAGGGTTCAAAACCAATCGTGCTGGCTCCAAAACCCATGGTGTTTCTACAGCAGCCCTTTGCCCTCCACTGTCCCCTGCTTCTCCCAGCCTCACTCTACACAAGACCAGAAGGACTGGTCTGTCTCTGACTGATGCATGTCACCCTCCTTTAACTTCAGGTGGGGCACAGGAGTCTGTCAAATAAAAGAATATCGGAGAACTGATATTCCACGTGCATCTTCGTCCTGAGGGCTGCACCTTGAAGGAGGGGCTACAGGGCTGATAAATGTCCAGATCCAGTCAGGAAATAAACCCATGTCTCAAGAAGGCCGTAGAACAGGGGTAGGCGGCTGGGGAGAAGGACTGAAGCAGTGGAGCTAGATAGCTGCAGCTTTGGGGGACACTGCATACTCTGCAGCTCACTGCTTCTGGGACTGAGACCAGACGCGTGTGTCCCCAGGCTGCACGTTCTTCATGTGGTGCAGGTGAAAGGAGATGCTGGTGTATGTGAAGCATGCGTGAAGGGACAGTGAGCACACAAGGGCCAGGCCATCGGTTGGGGCGGGGGGGCAGGGGCACACTACATACTGCTTTCTGACACCCCAGGCCCAAAGGTGCTGCTGGTTTAATGGTAATTAAGCAGATTAGCCACCTTCTGTTTTATTTACCACAGTTACCAGCTCAGCAGGTGGTCACAGAGGAGGTGCTGGCATTGAGGACAGGGTTTAACTTCAGTCAGCCACGGCTCGTTGAAGCTGCTGGGTGTGTTTGCCCGGGTCTGTTTAGCCTCACGCAGATGCCTGCTCCCATCTGTCACTCTTTAAAATGCTCTTAGTGAAAGCCTAAAATGTAAACAGAGGCTGTGAAAGCATATCACATTCCTATCTTTCTCTCCAGCCTTTGTAGACCTGCCTGATTTAATGCAGCATCTTGACAACAACTTTAAATACTGGAAAGGACTGGACGAAATGAAGCTGCGGAACCTCCGACCACCTCCTGAATAGTGGGAGACACCACCCAGAGCCCTGAAGCTTTGTTCCTTCGGTCATTTGGAATTCCTGAGGGCAGCCAGAGCTCCTTGGTCCTTTCAGTACTAGGCAGAACAGCCCCCGATCTGCATAGCCTGTGAAAGCCCACGGGGACATCAGTAACCTTCTGCAGCCACCATCCAATGCCATTACTGTCAAGTGAGACTTGGCCACTGTAGCCTGGGCCTGCTGCAGGAGCTCTTCAGAAAGGCACATGAGGACCACGGTTTGCCTCAGTTTCTGGTAAAACACAAGGTCTGGAGTGCCCCTGCAAAGGGTATTGATGGACTTCCTGCCAGTGACAGAGCATGTCTATTGCAAACAATTCTCTCAGTTACGTTCAGCACTTAAGAACGGCTAATGGCAATAGGATCTTTAGCAACTTTTTCACATCATAGAAGGTGCAATCGCTCACTTGGGAACACTACTGAGAGTGACTTCTCTTTTAAAATTGAGTAGCAGATGAAAAATTAAAATTTGAACTTGATTATTAATATCAATTAAAATGTTTTATTTATTTTATTAAAAGCTCAATATTTTCTATGAATTCAAAAATACTTCAGAGCCAAAGCCAACTTCAAATACCGTGACCAAATTTACATGATTCATATTCATTATGCATTACTTGGTATACAGACTTATTTTCATAATGCAAATTAATAAAATGACACTTTTACTGCACTATAGAAATATTCATGTATGTTAAACTTTTCTGATTGAGGCTAACTGGAAAAAGCTGGGGTCGTATTCTAAGTGCTAAAGAAGGCTGCTTCTACTGTATAGAACCCAGGGCTCTGAAACAGCTCTAGCCGCCTAATGCACTTCACAGGTAACTCCCCAAGGTAAAACTAGACTCTCTTGTTGGTTCGCAAAGAAAAGTTAGGACTTAACACTTTTTTCTAAAATTTTATAATTCAATTTCCAAAAGTCTACTCTATTTTATACTGTTTCTACAAAATATTCCTTATAAAAACAAAGAACAAAAATTGAATATTTAATGAATTGACATTTTATAACCAACCTGTTTTTATCTACGGTGGGAATCTTTGATGCCAGAAATTTATAAAGAGGTTCTGTATCTTCACACCTTGAATAAGCATAATACCATAAAAAATGACACTTGACATGTCAATGTATTTGTCATTTCATTTTAAACTCGTATTTGTGGTTTTTTTCCCAGATAAAAATGAAATTAAACCATTTCTTTTTAAGAAATCATGTTTTATCATCTTTTTGGAGAGTTCTTTGTCTCATAATACTTATAATATTTTTTTTTTTAAATAAAGGTCAGGCACAGTGGCTTATGACCGTAATCTCAGCACATTGTGAGCCTAAGAGTTCAAGACCAGCCTGGGCAACGTAGCAAGACCTCATCTCTACAAAAAATTTAGCATGCACCTGTGATCTCTGCTGCTTAGGAGCTGAGGTGGGAGGACTGCCTGAGCCCAGGAGTTCAGTGCTGCAGTGAGCTATGATCATGCCACTATACTCCAGCCTCGGCAGCAAAGCAAGACCCTGTCTCTAAATCATAAAGAAAAGAAAGAATATTCCTTACTTTACAGAAAAGACTGGTAGTTAAATGACTTTTTCAAGGTCACACAGGGCCAGATGAGTATGTTGAGAAGTTCTCAGAATTAACCTTAGTTCACTGCCTGGTACCTCTGAATGGGAATTGAGAGATAAGAGGCACACTGGAGAACTGACAGGGCTCTCAGAGATGGGTCCTGGGCACGAGGTGCCCATTCAGAGATGTCAGGGCACTGGAGGGCTGACAGGGCAAGCCCTTTGGAGTTTCTGTTTAAGGAAACAAAGGCTTTGTCCTGTGTTAAGATATTTGGCCTGAGATGGTAATTGTGGACTGAGCGGGGAAGACAGTTCTGTCCCCTCCCCAGGTGCAAAGAAAAAAGGAAACAAACCACACGAAGAACTCGACCATCTTGAGGCAGAGATAGCAGTGTGTGCAATATATGGAATTTGCATCACCAAGAGCTGGTAATAATTATCAAATAATCTGAAAGAGACTTTAAGATGAGTAGGCTTAACATGCTTAAACAGATAAGCGAAAAAGAAACTAAACCAGGCCAGGCTCAGTGGCTCATGCCTGTAATCCCAGCACTTTGGGAGGCCGAGGTGGGCGGATCACGAGGTCAGGAGATTGAGACCATCCTGGCCAACACGGTGAAACCCCATCTCTACTAAAAATAGAAAAAATTAGCCGGGCGTGATGGTGGGTTCCTGGAGTCCCCAGCTACTCGGGAGGCTAAGGCAGGAGAATGGCATCAACCCGGAAGGCAGAGCTTGCAGTGAGCCGAGATGGCGCCACTGCACTCCAGCCTGGGCGACAGAGCAAGACTCCGTCTCAAAAAAAAAAAAAAAAAAAAAAAAAAACACACAAAAACCTAAACCAAGACAGACAGTTTAAAAATAAAATAATAGATTTGACAAAAAAACATATTAATAGACATTCTAGAGATGATGACTATAGTCACTGAAACAGACAAAAAACTTCAATGTCTAGGTGTCACAGAAGACCAGACGTAACTAGAGGGAATTAGTAAATTGGAAGACAATGAAGGGACTCAATTAGAATACAGCACAGAGAGAAAAATGGAAAAGAAAATATGAGAGCAGAAAGAAACACTTCAAAATATGTCCAATTAGGAGATCCAGAAGGGAGAGCAGGAAGAAGCACCATCTGGAGGAGTGCAGAGTCCTCCAGGATTTGATAGACGCAAGTCCGCAGATTTAAAGGCACAGCGAATCCTAGGCAATATGAATAAATCCATACAAGTGAAACTAGACCAGTGAGCACAAAGAGAAATACAAAGCTGAGAAAAAACAGTCCGGGCACAGTGGCTCACGCCTGTAATCCCAGCACTTTGGGAGGCTGAGGTGGGCAGATCACGAGGTCAGGAGTTCGAGACCAGCCTGGCCAATGTGGTGAAACCCCCGTCTCTACTAAAAATAGAAAAGTTAGCCAGGCGTGGTCACGGGTACCTGTAGTCCCAGCTACGTAGGAGGCTGAGGCAGGAGAATCGCTTGAACCTGGGAGGCAGAGGTTGTGGTGAGCCAAGATCGCACCATTGCTCTCCAGCCTGGGCAACAAGAGTGAAACTGTGTCCAAAAAAAAAAAAAAAAATCACAGGAAAGCAAAGAAGAAATAAAGTGCAACTAATGCAACCAATAAAAGACAAATGGAAAAAGAAAATGCATGAGTTAGAAAAGACAGTGGCAGAAATAAGTATAAACTCATACACAAAATCAATTGTAAAGATCTACATGTAAAAAAAAGTAGCATATGGTGAAACCCCATCTCTACTAAAAATACAAAAATTAGCTGGGCTTGGTGGCGTGTGCCTATAGTCCCAGTTACTTAGGAGGCTGAGGCAGGAGAATCGCTTGAACCCAGAAGGCGGAGGTTGCAGTGAGCTGAGATCGTGCCACTGCACCCCAGCCTGAATGACAGAGCAAGATTCCATCTCAAAAAAGAAAACAAAACAAAAGTAACATATGACAAAAGATACAAATCAAACTAGGTAGCTCAAATCAATGTAAATTTATTGTCTTATGTTTCCTGGGACTGTAAGGCTGGAGGTCAAGGTGTCCACAGGGTTGGTTCCTTCTGTAGGCCCAGAGAGAAAAACCATGCTGTGCTGCTGACATGTTCCTTAGCTAGCAGATGCATTGTCCCAATCTCTGCCTCCATCTTCACATTGCCTAATGTGGGACTTGTGTCCTCCCTTCTATTTATAAAAACACTGGTCCATGCTAAATCCAGGCTGGTTTCACTTCAAAATCCTTAACTAATTACATCTGGAAGGACCCTATTTCCACATGAAGTCACATTTTGAGGTTTCAGGGGGACACTGTTCTACCCATGACAGATGGTGATACCACATTCTTGTTTGCTTACTCTGATGAAGCAAGCTGCCATATTGTGAGCTGCCTTGTGAGACACACATGGCAAGGAACTAATGTTAGCCTGCAGCTCACAACCAGCAAGGAACTGAATCCTCCCAGCAACCACGTGAGTAAGGTGGAAGTAGATCCTGCCCTAGTCAAGTCTTTAGATGAGACCACTCTCCCAGGAGACACCTTGATTACAGCCTTACAAGAGAATCTGAGCCGGAGGGCCCAGCTAAGCTACACCTGGAATCCTGACTCACAGAAACTGAGATAACACATGTTTTAAGCCATTACATTTTAATGCAATTTGTTACACAGCAACAAATAACTAATGTGTAAACTGTAGAGCACTGAAAAAGACTGAAGCAGAGCTACAGATGTTGACGGGGAAAAATTAATAATATTGGATGAAAAGGCAAAATTGCACTAAGATGTAGTTTATGTAAATTTTTTGAATACCCAAAACAATACACTAATGCTCATGTAAAAATAAATAGTAGGAACATTAAAATTCAAATATTCAGGAAGTTTACAAATACTGTGAACTGGCTTGTACAATACTGCCTAGCTTCCTGGTGAACACACAAAGTAGAGAGTGAAAAGCCTTTCTTCCAAACTCCTTTGCACCAAGGTTTTTATATCTAATTTAGGTTCACTTGTCAGATGGCATTTGTCCAAGACTCTGATTTAGAACTGAGTCATAAATGGAAAAAAGCAAAGGTCCGCATTGGGGCATCAATTTTGAATGTCAGAAATGCCATTCTAGACCCAGCAGCTATAATGACAGCTTCCTGATTGTGGTAGAAACAAGGCTCTGGAGGCACGGCAATAACCATGGCAGCCCAGCCTGAGGTGTGATCTTAAGGAGACTTTCCAGGAAACACAGTCAAGGGTCTTATTTCTTCAGCTCTTGCACTGATAAATCCCTTCAGCTTAAACCAGCTAGAGGAGTTCTCCAGTCTCAAAATTAAGGACTCTGATCAAGACCAGAAGTATATACTCCAACTTGACAATGGCAGTTACCTATGGAGGCTGGGGAGGGGTCTGGTGCTGGGAAAACATTCAGAGGGAACTATGTGTATTTTCTATTTTTGAAATAATACATAAAGCAGAAGCAGGGCATGGTGGCTCATGCCTGTAATCCCACTACTTTCGGAGGCCGAGGCAGGCGGGTCACCTGAGGTCAGGAGTTCAAGACCAGCCTGGCCAATATGGTGAAATCCCGTCTCTACTAAAAATACAAAAAAAAAGTAGCTGGGCATAGTGGCGGGCGCCTGTGATCCCACTTACTTGGGAGACCGAGGTGGGAGAATCGCTTGAACCCGGGAGGCAGAGGTTGCAGTGAGCTGAGATCGTACCACTGCACTCCAGCCTGGTGACAGAGCAAGACTCCATCTCAAAAAAAAAAAAAAAAAAAAAAAAGGTAGACACAGAAAAATGTTAATATTTATTAAGTCTAGTGGTGAAGTACATTGATTTTTTAAAGGCAGCTAGGGCCAAGGCAGCTAGGATATTTTTTCTTCTTTTGAGACAGGTCTCTGTTGCCCAGGCTGGAGTGCAGTGGCGCAATCAGGCTCACTGCAGCCTCTACCTCCCAGGCTCAAACAGTTCTCCCACCTCAGCCTCCTTGAGTAGCTGGGACTATAGGCACATATTTTAAGCAGAGAAAGTAGTACACAAAACAGAAGCCATATGAAAACACAATTAAAAAATCAACAATAAAAATCAAAATATTTTATGTGACAAATGACAATATGTCAAAAGCAAGGAAATGTTTATAATTCATTTTATAAAAGCTTACTTCCATAATACTGATTTTTAAAATTTTTATATGAGAAAATGAACAGTACGGTAGAAAAAATTTAAAAATGTTATGAACAGAAAGTTTGTAGAAAAACAAAAGGTTCTTAAAGTTTATACTACACTGATAGTAATCAAATGCAAATTAGAACCAATTTGAGATATTTTTCACCTTTAAGATGAGTAAAGAATAAAAAGTTTGATAATATAGTATGTTAATAAGAATGTGTGGGCCGGTTGCAGTGGCTCACGCCTGTAATCCCAGCACTTTAGGAGGCCAAGGCAGGCAGATCATAAGGTCAGGAGTTTGAGACCAGCCTGTCCAACATAGTGAAACCCTGTCTCTACTAAAAATATAAAAATTAGCCAGGCGTGGTGGCGGGCACCTATAATCACAGCTACTCCAGAGACTGAGGCAGAAGAATTGCTTAAACCCAGGGGGCAGAGGTTGCAGTGAGCCGAGATGGCGCCACTGCACTCCAGCCTGGGTGACAGAGCAAGACTCTCTCGGGGAGGGGGCGGGGGTGGGTGGTAAAAAAAAGAAGAATGAGTGGAAATGACATGGCAGGTGAGTATAATTAGTACAACCTAATTACAAATTTGCCAAATCTATCCAAATTGCAAATGTACATGCAGTGTGACCTGGCAATTCTACTTCCAGGATTTTAGCCTAAAGATATTTACACGTGGGAAATAATAGTCTACAAAATTATTTATTATTTACTACTTATATTAGTAAAAGACTGGAAACAAATTGTCTATCATTTAAGAAGAGTAAGTAAACAAGTTACAGGTATGACCATACAACAGAATACTATGCAACTGTAAAAAAGAATGAGGAGACTTATTTTCCAGATCCGCATGTAAGGAACTTGAAAGTCGCCACTTCATTCTAACAAGTAAAAAGCTAAACAGCCTGAAAAATCAACAGCTCTTCCTAGATCTGTAAGAAAGGTGAGGATACAAGTCAAACTGCTGCCCCTAAGATAGGAGAGACCAGCAGGCAAATACAGGAAATTATATCTTACTGGAGCAGAGATTCATGAGTGGAAACCACCATGGGAACCAGTGCCAGGGTAGAAGAACCTGTCAGTAATTGAAGAATTGGTGGAGGCTCAATGTGGACAGTCTAAGAATTAAAACTCCTGGGGAACCCAGTTATAAGGGGTGCCCCCCGCCTGCACTTTCGTGAATTTTACCTCCAAGAGCTTCACAGTTCTCACAGTAAATATAACAGGAAAATTCCCTCATACTTCCAGCAAAGAGAGGAGGAAAGCACTGTTTTGTTTATAGCAAAAACACTGCGAATGAATGAAAAGTGCTTTTGATGGGCTCATTAATAGGCTGGACATGAATTAGGAGTGAATCTCTCAGCTTGAAGACATGTCAAATAGAAACCTACAAAACTGAAAATTAAAGAGAATAGGACTGAGCAAAATATCCAAGGACTATGGAGCTAAAAAGTTGTAATATACATGTTATAAGAATAGCAGAGGGAAAATACAGAAAGAAAAGAACAGAAGAAATATTTGAGGCCAAATGTGGTGGCTCATGCCTGTAGTCCCAGGGCTTTGGGAGGCCAAGGTGGGAGGATCACTTGAGGCCAGGAGTTTGAGACCAGCCTGGGCAACATAGTGAGAGCCACACCCATTTTTAAAAAAAAGCCAGGCCGGGCACGGTGGCTCAGGTCTGTAATCCTATCACTTTGGGAGGTAGAGGCAGGTGGATCACCTGAGGTCAGGAGTTCGAGACCAGCCTGACCAACATGGAAAAACTCTGTCTCTACTAAAAGTACAAAATTAGCAGGGTGTGGTGACACATGCCTGTAATCCCAGCTACTCGAGAGGCTGAGGCAGGAGAATCGCTTGAACCCAGGAGGCAGAGGTTGTTGAACCAAGATTATGCCATTGCACTCCAGCCTGGGCAACAAGAGCGAAACTCTGTCTCAAAAAAAAAAAAAAAAAAAAAAAAACCCAAAAAATGAAAAACACATAGATTAAATGGATGGAGAAAATATACCACACTAACACTAATCAAAAGAAAGCAAGACCATCCTAGACAACATGGTGAAACCCTGTCTCTACTAAAAATACAAAAATTAGCTGGGCGTGGTGTTGCACACCTGTAGTCCCAGCTACTCAGGGGGACTAAGGCAGGAGAATCGCTTGAACCTGGGAGGCAGAGGTTGCAGTGAGCCAAGAACGCGCCACAGCACTCTAGCCTCATGACAGAGCGAGACTCTGTCTCAAAAAAAAAAAAAGAAAGGAGTAGTTACATTAATTGCAAACAGAGGAGACTTAAAAGCAAGGAAAGTTATCAAGGATAAAGAAGGTCATTAGATTATGATAAAGAGATCATTTCTCCAAGACATAATAATCCCTAACATGTATACACCAAACAACATAATATCAAACTACATGAGCCCCAAACTGATAGAACTGTAAGGAGAAAAGATTAATCCACTATTACACTGGGAGATTGCAACACTCTTTTATCAGAAGTAAACAGATTCAGCTGGCAGAAAATTTAGTAAGGACATAGTTGAATCCTACAACACTATCAGTCAACTGGATATAACTGACATCTATAGACTAGTTCAGCCAACAACAGCAGATTACCCTTTCTCCTCAACCCCACATGGAACATTCACCAAGACAGACCATATCCTGGGTTATAAAACACACTTTAACACATTTAAAAAAGGAAATTAGGCCAGGCGCAGTGGCTCACGCCTGTAAACCCAGCACTTTGGGAGGCCGAGGCGGGCAGATCACGAGGTCAGGAGATCAAAACCATCCTGGCTAACACGGTGAAACCCTGTCCCTACTAAAAATACAAAAAAATTAGCTGGGTGTGGTGGCGGGCACCTGTAATCCCAGCTACTTGGGAGGTTGAGGCAGGAGAATGGTGAGAACCCGGGAGGCAGAGCTTGCAGTGAGCCGAGATGGTGCCACTGCACTCCAGCCTGGGTGACAGAGTGAGACTCCGTCTCAAAAAAAAGAAAAGAAAACAAAAAACAAAAAAAACAAATTAGGCCAGGTGCAGTTGCTCATTCCTGTAATACCAGCACTTTGGGAAGCCAAGGTAGGAGGGTCAACTTGAGCCCAGGAGTTCAAGACCAGCTTGAGCAACATGGTGAGACCCTGTCTCTACAAAAAATTCTAAAAATGACTGGGTGTGGAGGTACACACCTGTGGTCCCAGCTACTTGGGAGGCTGAGGTAGTAGAATCACATGAGCCCAGGAGTTCGAGACTGTAAGAAGCCACGATTGCACCACTGCACACCAGCTTGGGTAACAGAGCAAAACCCTGTTTCCTAATTAATTAATTAAAAATAAAAATCAGACAGTATCTTCTCTCAGAAGACAATGGAATTAACCTGTAATCAATAACAGAAAGACAATTGGAAATATTCAAAATATGTGGAGATTAATGAACATACTTCTAGGGCCGGGCACCATGGCTCACATCTATAATCCCAGCACTTTGGGAGGCCGAGGCAGGAGGATCACCTGAGACCAGGAGTTCAAGACTAGCCTGAGAAACACAGTGGGACCCTGTCTCAGCAAAAAATACAAAAATTAGCCAGGCATGATGGCATGCATCTGTAGTCCCAGCTACTCAGGGGGCTGAGGTGAGAGGAACTCTTGAGCCTGGGAAGTCAAGGCTGCAGTCGGTCATGATGGCACCACTGCATTCCAGCCTGGGCAACAGAGTGAGACCCTGTGTCAAAAACAAAAACAAAAAAACACACATAATTAACACATGGGCCAAAGAAGAAACCTCAAGAAATTTTCAAATATTTTAAACTAAATGAAAATTAAAACACAACTTACCAAAATTTGTGGCATACAGTGAAAGCAGTGTTTAGAGGGAAGTTTATAGCATTTAATGTGTGTATTAGAAAAGAATACAGTATACAATTAATTATCTAAGCTTCTACCTTAGGAAACTGGAAAAAGAACAAATGAAATCCAAAATAAACAGAAGAAATAGTAAAAAATTAGACCAGAAATCAATGATATTAAAAACAGGAAATAAAGTCAATGAAACCAAAAGCTGGTTCTTGGAGAAGACCACAAAATTGATAAGGCTTTAGCCAGGTTTACTGAGAATAAAAGAAGACACAAATTACTAATATCAGAAACAAAAGAGAGGATATCACTACAGATCTCATAGACATTAAAAAGATAAAGGAATACTATGAATAACTCCACACCCACAAATTTGATAACCTAGATGAAAAGGACCAATTCGGCCGGGCATGGTGGCTCATGCCTGTAATCCCAACACTTTGGGAGGCCGAGGCAGGTGGATCACTTGAGGTCAGGAGTTCAAGACCAGCCTGGCCAACATGGTAAAACCCTGTCTCTACTAAAAATATAAAAATTAGCCAGGTGTGGTGGCAGGCACCTACAATCCCAGCTACTCAGGAGGCTGAGGCAGGAGAATCGCTTGAATCTGGGAGGCGGAGGTTGCAGTGAGCCGAGATCATGCCACTGCACTCCAGCCTGGGCAGCAGAGTGAGACTCAGTGTCAAAAAAAAGAAAGAAAGAAAAGGACCAATTCTTTGAAAGACACAATCTGCCAAAACTCACAAGAAACAATCAATCTGAATAAGCCTATATCTATTAAAGAAATCAATAATTAATAACTTTTCAAAACAGAAAATGCCAGGCTCAAATGGGTTCACTTGTGAATTCTGTTAGACATATAAGGAAGAAATTATACCCTTATTTTACAATCTGGTTCAGAAGATCAAAGCAGAAGGGATACTTTATAACTCATTATATGGGGCCAGACTCATACACATACCAGACAAAGACATGGCAAGCAAATGACAGACCAATATCTTTCATGAACCTAGATACAAAAATCCTCAACAAAATATTAGCAAATAGAATCCAGCAATGTGTAAAAAGAATTACACTTCACAACCAGATAGGATTTATCCCAAGTATGAAAAACCACAGTTATCATACTGAATAGTGAGAAACTAGAAGCTTTCCTGCTAACAACAGGAGCAATGCAAGGAGGTCCCTGTCACCATTCCTTTTCAACACTGGACTGCAGTCCAGTGCAGAGAAAGGATATACTGAATAAGAAGGAAGAAATAAAACTGTGTTCGCAGATGACATGATTACCTATGTAGAAAATCCAAAAGAATAAAAAAACCTGGAATAAGCCATTATGGCAAGGTTACAGAGTACAATGTTAAAAAACAAAAGTCAGTCACTTTCCTATACCAACAATAAGTAGAATTTGAAATTAAAAACACAATAGTATTTATGTTAGCCCCCCCACCTCAAAATGAAATACTTATATATAAATCTAACAAAATATATACAAGATCTTTATAAGGGAAACTACAAATCTTATATGAAAGAAATCAAAGAAGAGCTGAATAAATGAAGAGCTATTCCATGTTCATAGATAGGAAGACTCAATATTGCCAAGATGTAATTTCTTCACAGCTTCATCTAGATTCAATGTAACCACAATCAAAATCCCAGCAAGCTATTTTGTGGATCTTAACAAACTGATTTTACAGTTTACTGGAGAGGCAAAAGACCCAGAATAGCCAACAGGATACTAAGGGAGAAGAACAAAGTTGGAAGACTGATACTACCTGACTTCAAGACTTACTATAAAGCCACAGTATTCAAAAAGATGCAGTAGGGCGAAAGAATAAATAGATCAATGGAACAAAATAGAGTGCCAGAAATAATGGACCCCACATAAATATAGTCAACTGATATTTGACAAGGGAGCAAAGCAACACAATGAAACAAAGACAGTTTTGTGTTTTTGTTTTTGTTTTTTTTTACTAAATTGTGCTAGAATTGAACATCCACATACAAAAAAAAAAAAAAAAAGAATCTAGACACAGACCTTACAACCTTCACACAGATTAACTCAAATTGGCTCATAGGCCCAAATATAAAATGTAAAACTCCTAGAAGACAGCATAAGAGAAAACCTAGGTGAGCATGGGTATACTGAAAACTTTTTAGATACCACAACAAAGGCACATTCTGTGACGGAAATAACTGATCAGCTGGATTCCATTAAAGTTAAAAACCTGCTCTGTAAGAGAATGTGAAGAGGATGAGAAGAAAAGCCACAGACTGGGACAAAATATTTGCAAAATGCACATAAAGATCCAAAATATACAAAGCACTCTTAAAACTCAGCAATAAGAAAACAATCTGATATTAAAATGGGTCAAAGATCTTCACAAAGACTTCACCAGAGAAGATCTACAGATGGCAAATAAGGATATAAAAAGATGCACCACACCATATGTCATCGGGGAAGCACAAGCTAAAACAACAGTGAGATACCACTACACACCTGTTAGAATGGCCAGACTCGAGAACACAGACAACACCAAATGCTGATGAGGATGTGAAGCAACAGGACGTCTCATTCATTGCTGGTGGGAAGGCAAAAATGATACAGCCGCATTGGAAGACAGTTTGGTAGTTTTTCACAAAACTAAATGCAATCTTACCAAATGATCCAATAATCATGTCCTTGGTATATACCCAAAGGAGCTGAAATTTTATGTTCACATAAAATCCTTCACATGAATGTTTACAATGGCCTTATTCATAATTGCTCAAGCTTGGAAACAACCAAGATATCCTTCAGTTAGTGAATGGATAAACTGTGATGCATCCAGACAATGGAATTTTATTCAGCACTAAAAAGAATTGAGCTATCAAGGAATGAAGAGACACAGAGGAACCTTTAATGCATATTACTAAGTGAATGAAGCCGATCTGAAAGGGCTACATACTGTACGATTCCAACTATTGACAGCCTGGAAAAGGCAAAAGTGTAGAGACAGTAAACAGCTTAGTAGTTGCCATGGGGTAAGGGGACACAGAAGCAAAGCACAGCAGATTTTTAGGGCAGTGAAAATACTCTATAATGGTAGATGCATGTCATTATACATTCGTCCATACCCACAGAATGTACAACAGCAGAGTGAATCCTAATGTAAACTAGGGGCTCTGGGTGATAACGATGTGTCAATGTAGGTTCATCAGCTGTAACCAATGTGCCACTCTGCTGGGGGAGTTGCTAATGGGGGACGGCAGAGGGTATGGGGAACACCCATAGTTCAAAAACTTTTGAAAAGCTTCTTCTCAATTTTGTTGTAAACCTAAAAACTGCCCTTAAAAATCAAGTTTTGTTTGTTTGTTTGTTTTTGAGATGGAGTCTCACTCTGTCACTCAGGCTGGAGTGCAATGGCGTGATCTTGGCTCAATGCAACCTCCACCTCGCAGGTTCAAGTGATTCTCCTGCCTCAGCCTCCTGAATAGCTGGGACTACAGGCACCCGCCACCATGCCCAGCTAATTTTTGTACTTTTAGTAGAGATGGGGTTTCACTATGTTGGCCAGGCTGGTCTCGAACTCCCGACCTCATGATCCACCTGCCTTGGCCTCCCACAAGTGCTGGGATTACAGGCATGAGTCACTGCACCTGGCCTCCAAAATCAACTATTTTTAAAAACCCACAAGCCATGTATCATTTTTACAAAATGAGGAAACTCGTGTAGATATGAAAAAAATTACCAAGATATATTTATAAGTGAAAAAGCATAAGCATAATGCAAAATAAGATACACATAGGCAAGCATTTGTTTAAGTGCTAAATTAGCTTAAAATCATGGAATGTATGCACAAGAAACCAGTAACACAGATTGCCTGTGGGAAGGAAACAGTGACTAGGAAACATAGTCCCTGTTCCCTACAACAGCGGGGAAACTTTTCCCATATGCTCATTTGTTCCTTTTGAATTTTGAACAGTGCTCCTGAGGAACTTAAAGATGTAAACAGCCGGGCGCGGTGGCTCACGCCTGCAATCCCAGCACTTTGGGAGGCCAAGGCGGGCAGATCACAAGGTCAGGAGATCGAGACCATCCTGGCTAACACGGTGAAACCCCGTCTCTACTAAAAATACAAAAACAAAACTAGCCGGGCTTGGTGGTGGGCGCCTGTAGTCCCAGCTACTCAAGAGGCTGAGGCAGGAGAATGGCGTGAACTCGGGAGGCGGAGCTTGCAATGAGCCGAGATCGCGCCACTGCACTCCAGCCTGGGCGACAGAGCGAGACTCCGTCTCAAAAAAAAAAAAAAAAAAAAAAAAAAGGTATAAATAAATGTAAAGGTATACCTTATTTTGGGGGTGAATTAATTCTGTAAAAACGTCACTTTTTACCTAAATTGCTCCATGAATTTAGCATGAATCCCAATCGAAGAAAAAAATTTAGTCAAGTGATTCTAAAGTTCATATACTACGTGATGGTGTGATGCAGTAAGAAATGTATATTTGGTCTTTGTCCCCAGTTGCTAACACAGAGCTCCTAAATACTTGCAATTTCCTGGGTGATAGGAGCATCTTTTGTTCTAATGAGTCAGCCCCTCATGAGGAGAGAGCCTTAGATAGTTTCAGGATGAGGCTGCTTGCCAGAAATATCAAGCCATGATTAGAGGGGTAGAACTTTCAGCCCTACCCCTGACCTCCAGGACTGGGAGAAGAGCTGGAGTTTGAGTTAATTACCAGTGGCCAATTATTTAATCAATCACGCCTAGGTAAGGAGTCCTCCATAAAACTCTTAAAAAACAGGGTTGGAAGAGCTTCTGGACTGATAAACACATCAAGGTACTGGGAGGGTGGGTTCCTGGAGAGGGCATGGAGGCTCCACACCCACCTCATGCCTTGTCCTGTGCATCTCTTCCATTTGACTATTCCAGAGGTGTATCCTTCATAATAAACTGGTAATGGTAAGTAAAGTGTTTTCGTGAGTTTTGTGAGCTATTCTAGCAAATTATCGAATCTGAGGAGGGGGTTGTGGGAAGCCTCTGACTTTATTCCAGTCATTCAGAAATATAGGAGACCCAGGTGGGCACGGTGGCTCACGCCTATAATCCCAGCACTTTGGGAGGCTGAGGCGGGCAGGTCACTAGGTCAAGAGATTGAGAGCATCCTGGCCAACATGGTGAAACTCCCTCTCTACTAAAAATACAAAAATTAGCTGGGTGTGGTGGCAGGTGCCTGTAATCCCAGCTACTCAGGAGGCTGAGGCAGGAGAATCACTTAAACCCGGGAGGCGGAGACTGCAGTGAGCTGAGATTGCTCTACTGCACTTCAGCCTGGGTAACAGAGCGAGACTCCATCTCAAAAAAAAAAAAAAAAAAAAAAAAAAAAAGTATGGGAGACTCAAACTTGCAATTGGCACCTGAAGTGGAGACAGTCTTGTAGAACTGAACCCTTCATTTAAGAGTCTGCACTCCAAATAGCGTCAGAACTGAATAGAATTTGGGATATCCAGTTGGTATCCAAAGAGTTGGAAAATTGGTTGATGTGAGGAAAAAAAACCCACACCAAGAAGTGTGAGTTGAAACAGTTCAGAGAAGAAGAGCTAAGAAAATTCTGGAAGTAAAGAGTGATATGGTTTGGCTGTGTGTCCCCACCCAAATCTCATGTTGGATTAAAATCCCATGTGTCCGGGGAAGGACCTGGTGGGAAGTGATTGGATCATGGGGTGGATTTCTCCCTCGCTGTTCTCGTGATAGTGGCTGTCACAAGATCTGATGGTGGAAAAGCGTGTGGCATTTCTCCCTTCACTGTCTCTCCCCTGCTCCGCTATGGTAAGATGTGCTTGCTTCCCCTTCACCTTCCACCATGATTATAAGTTTCCTGAGGCCTCCCACTCATGCTTCCTGTTAAGCCTGCAGAACTGTGAGTCAATTAAACCTCTTTTTTTTATAAATTACCCAGTCTCATGTAGTTCTTTGTAGCGGTGTGAGAATGAACTAATACAAAGGGTAAAAAGAAAGGACTGGCCCTAAGATATGAAAATATAAAGCTGCCATGATTAAAACTGTGAGGCACTGACTTTTTTAGATGAAAAAGTGAAACTGAACAGAGCCCAGAAATAAATCAAAACACACAGGAAATCAGTATGTGATCAACATACTGATATTCAGTGATATTTCACATCACTGAAAAAAAGATGGATTACTCAATAAATGGTGTTGGGATGACTGGGTAGGTGTCTAGGAAGTAAATTTTTTTTTTTGAGGCAGGGTCTTGCTCTGTCGCCCAGGCTGGAGTGCAGTGGTGCAATCACAGCTCACTGCAGCCTTGACCTGGGGCTCAAGCCATCCTCCCATCTCAGCTTCCCAAGTAGTTGAGATTACAGGTGCATACCACCACACCTGGCTCATTTTTTTGTATTTTATAGAGACAGGGTTTCACCATGTTGCTCAGGTTGGTCTCCAACTGCTGGGCTCAAGTGATCCGCCTGCCTCAGTCTCCCAAAGTGCTGGGATTACAGAAGTGAGCCACCATGCCTGGCCAGAAATAAATTCTTAATGTGCCAATGCTTTAAAAGTGAAAGATTAAACATAAAAATATGAGAAGAAACCATGAAGAAAATATTTTTATCATCTCAGAGTAGAAAAGGCATGACATAAAACCCAAAGTTCATATAAGAAAAACCTGCTGATTTCACCTATCGTAAAAGAAAAAAATCTGTTCCAGGCTAGGGCTTGCTTGGGAGGGGAAGGAGGTGTGACATCAGTTGGAGCCCAACAGTAATTCAAATGACAAACAGCAGGGTGGGGATGACAGCACAGATTTATGCGTGCTGCTCACAGCAGTGCTGAATCAGGTTGAGAAATTGGAAACAACCACAATACCCAACAATAGGTGAAGAAAGACTCAGTATGGTTAAGAAGAAAAATTCAAGATGATTTCCAAAAGGGGTGCTTTTTGCAGCCACTAAAAATAATGATTTAGAAAAACCAATCAGTGAAATGGAGAAACGTCAAGACTGTGTTATTCAGTGAAAACACGTCGAACACATATTTCCTTCCACTTTTTTTCCTAATCACATATTGCTTCTGAAGTGTGGAAGGGGAAGCAATGTGTGATTAGGAAAAGAAGTGGAAGGAAATACCCTCAGGCATTTTCAGTGGTTCTCTCTGGAGGCTGGGATTACAGGTGATTTATTTCCTACCTTGTGCTTTTCTGGCTTTCCCCAAACTTTAATCCATTTGATTACTTTTGCAGTTTGTTCTAAGGTTTTTTGTTTGTTTGTTTGTTTGTTTGAGGTGGAGTCTTGCTCTGTTGCCCAGGCTGAAGTGCAGTGACATGATCTCAGCTCACTGCAACCCCTGCTTCCCGAGTTCCAGCAACTCTTCTGCAGCCTCCCGAGTAGCTGGGATTCCAGGCACACCACCACACCTTGCTAATTGTTGTATTTTTAATAGAGACAGGGTTTCACCATATTGGTCAGGCTAATCTCGAACTCCTGACCTCAGGTGATCCACCCGCCTCAGCCTCCCAAAGTGCTGGGATTACAGGCATGAGCCACTGCACCCAGCCTGTTCTAAGGTTTAAAATCAGAATGATGGCCACGCGCGGTGGCTCACACCTGTAATCCCAACATTTTGGGAGGCCAAGGCGGGCAGATCATGAGGTCAGGAGATCGAGACCATCCTGGCTAATATGGTGAAACCCTGTCTCTACTAAAAATACCAAAAATTAGCCGGGCGTGGTGGCACGTGCCTGTAGTCCCAGCTACTCGGGAGGCTGAGGCAGGAAAATCACTTGAACCCGGGAGGCGGAGGTTGCAGTGAGCCGAGATCGCACCACTGCACTCCAGCCTGGGCGATAGAGCGAGATTCCATCTCAAAAAAATAGATAAATAAAATAAAATCAGAATGACTGAGAAGGTAGTGTGAGTCACATGACTAGGAAATGCGAGAGACAGAATCGGACTTTCCAGGGAAGACAACCCTTGGATTTGGACATAATGAGTGTCAGGGCCTGTGGACATCCAGGGAGCAGAGCCTGCTGGAACTGGACTCTAGGGTGCCCCTGGGGTCTGTGCTGCGTCTGGCTCCATGCACAGGACACAGGCCTTGAAATAATCAAGGATGGAGAGGAAGAAGGGGAGAGCCGCACAGCGCAGCAGTACCCTGGGCTGTCAGAGTCCACGCGGCAGCCCTGGAGGAGGTCCAGGACCCCCAGGACCACCTGGGGCTGGAAAGCAACAGAGCAACAGTGTCCAGACTTCCCGCCTCCTGGCCCGCACCCTCATCTAGAGCTTCTCATCTTCCACTGTGAAGGACAAGGTGAGTGTGCCAGCTAGTGTGTCCCTCAGGGACTTAGGCAGAAAAATGAAATTTTAAATAGAGGCAAAAGTTACCAACCTGGAAAAAGACCAAGGTTTGTATGCCCACCTCATTTTAGCTGAACCTCAGGAAAAGGTCAAAGAAAAGTAGGAAGCAGTTTTGCTCCCCCATCTTCTTCAAAGAAAGAAGTAGATGTGGAAGAACTGGCTTCTGTGTCACAAGGAAGCCTTTTCCCCAAGGAATAGGATCAGAAACAATGAGGAAAGGAATTAGTAAAGTCATCAGCTCACAGCAAGCTCAGGAAGAAGCTGAATAAACTTTTGAACAATTTGTCTCATCCTGCTATAAAAAGAGGAAATTTCAAAAAGTTAAGAACTATCGTGTGTATAGAGTTCCACTCTTGTTTACTCCACTTAGATGATCTCAAGTCACCAAGGAAAGAAGCCCATGAATAAGAAAGCAAAGCCCTCCAGCCCCTCACCTAACAGAGTCTGCAGACCAGCAGCTTTGGTGCCTCCAGGAACTGGCCAGAAACACAGCACCTCATACCCGTGCACACTCATGTCTGAGAAGCGTGGCTTAATGAACGTCTTCTTTGCAAAATACACAGGCCCTGCAATGAGGTATTTTCACAAGTCACCCTTCCCATTTCTTCCCATCCCCATTTCACCAAAGCCTGAAACCCCACCTGAAAGGCCCCATTTTTGACTAATAGAAAAGAGGCTAGACTAATAAAAAAGAGAGAAGACTGAAATTGCTAAAAGCATGAATAAGAGGACATCACTACCAACCTTACAAAAATAAAAAGGATTACAAGAGAATATTATAAATAATTGTATGCTAAATATTAGATAACCCAGATAACATAGAAATTCCTAGAAAGATACGAATTAATGAAAAGGACTCAATAAGAAATGCTAAACTTGAATAGACCTATAACAAGTGAAGATGGAATTAGTAATAGAAAAATTTCCCATAAAGTAAAGCCCAGGACCAGGTGGCTTCACCACTGAATTTTATTAAACATTTAAAAAAGAATTAACACCAATCCTTCTCAACATCTTCCTAAAAACAGAAGAGGAGGAAACACCTTCCAACTCATTTTGTGAGGCCAGTATTACCCTGATACCAAAATCAGACAAAAATATCACAAGAAAACTACAGATCAATATCTCTCTTATTAATTGAACATAAAAGTCCTCTATAATATACTAGCAAACTGAATGTAGCAACATGTAAAAATGATTGTACATCACAGCGAGGTGGAACTTAGGAATGCAACATCAGTTAAGCATACAATAATCAATCAATGTAATACACCACATTGATAAAAAAACAAAACCACACGGTTATCTCAACAGAAAGAATAAAGGCATTTGACAAAATTTAACACTCTTTCATGATAAAAATTAATAAATAAGCAAATAAATAAGAGGGAACTTCCTCAGCCTGATAAGGAGCATCCAGCTGTTTGGGAGCTCTACATAGGGATGACTGATTAAATCATTGGCCACTGGTGGTCAACTTAACCTTCAGCTTCTCTCCTCTCCCCGCAGGTTGGTGGGTGGAGCTAAAAGCCTCAACCCTCTAATCATGCCTTGGTCTTTCCTGTAACCAGCCCCTATTTGGAAGCTATAAGGGCCCCAGCCACCAGTCATCTCATTAGCATAGAAGAGACACTCATAACTCCAGAGATTCCAAGTGTTTTACAAGTTATATGTCAGGAAACAGGGATGAAGACCATTATATGTATTTCACAATATCACACAAGGGTTCCATCAACCCAAAGAAACACTGTACACTGCAAGCCAGAACCCCAAAAAGCTAGTCACATCCTTCCTTCAAATGAGAAATGGTTTGTGATAATGAACATACAGAATGAAAAAACAAATCTATTATGAGCCAACCCAGATTACAACCCTTTGATTATTCATAAGAAATGAAAAAAGTGTTTAACTTCTTCTACAAAAGTATTCATTATGTTTAATTTATATTTAAAATATTTAAACCATAGTGTTACAGGACAGGAAAATATGTTACAGGAAAGGGGTCCCAATCCAGACCCCAGGAGAGGGTTTGGATCTCATGCAAGAAAGAATTCAGGGTGAGTCCACAGTGCAAAGTGAAAGCAAGTTTATTAAGAAAGTAAAGGAATAAAAGAATGTCTACTCCATAGACAGACCAGCCCCGAGGGCTGCTGTTCATCCATTTTTATGGTTATTTCTTGATGATACGCTAAACAAGGGGTGGACTATTCATTCCTCCCCTTTTTAGACCACATAGAGTAACTTCCTGATGTTGCCATGGCATTTGTAAACTGTCATGGTGCTGGTGGAGTGTAGCAGTGAGGACAACCAGAGGTCACTCTCATTGCCATTTTGGTTTTGGTGGGTTTTGGCCGGCTCCTTTACTGCAAACTGTTTTATCAGCAAGGTCTTTATGACCTGTATTTTGTGCTGACCTCCTGTCTCACCCTGTGACTTAAAATGCCTTAACCATCTGGGAATGCAGTCCAGTAGGTTTCAGCCTCATTTTGTCCAGCTCCTATTTAAGATGGAATTGCTCTGGTTCACACGCCTGTGACAATAGGGCCCCAAACCTCAAAGAAACCCCTAAAGATTTTCCACTGAAAATAAAATATAAATAAACAAAAATAAAAACAGATAAATTAAAAAGCCCTGGGCTGGATTTGATAAAAGACATGAATCTGCAAAACCAAGAGGCTCACCAAATTTCAAGTAAGATAAAAATCAAAGAGACCCACACTCAAACCCATCATAATCAAACTGTTGAAAGCCAAAGACAACCTTGAAAGCACCAAGAAGCACCTCATCATGTACAAATTATGCTCAATAAGATTACTCCCAATTTCTCATCAGATATCATGGAGTCCAGAGGCAACAGGATGACATATTTTAAAGTGCTTAAAGAAACAACTCTACTGACATTTTGGTCTCCAACTTCTAGCCTCCAGAATAGTGAGAAAATAAATTTTCTGTTGTTTAAACCACCCAGTCTACAGTATTTTGTTATGGCAGCCCTAGCAAACTAATACTGATGGAAAATGTAAGCCCCACAGTAAAATTTGATTTTACTGTAGTCTTCTTCACAAAGAAAATACCAGCAGACTATACACAAAGGAAATGAAAAGGGAATCACAATGGTTCACTACTGAAAATTAACAAAATACAAAAGGAAAACAAGGGACAAAAAATTATAAGATATATAGAAAACAAATAGCAAAGTGGCAGAAGTCTTTTCTTATCAGTAATTACTTTAAATGTAAATAGACGAAACTTTCCAATCAAGACAGAGAATGACAAAATGGGTTTTTAAAAACATGAACCAACTATATGCTGTCTACAAGAAACACACTTTAAATTAAAACACACAGGTTGAAAGTGAAAGGATAGAAAAAGATATTCCATGCAGATAGTTCCCAAAAGGGAGCTGGGGTTGCTATACTAATATTGGACAAAACAGGCTTTATGCCAAAAACTATTACAAGGGACAAGGACATTATATATCAATAAATAATTAATTTATTAATAAGTTGATCATCAAGATTATATAATTATAAGTATATATTATATATAATTATATAGTTATAAGCATATATTCACCAAACATCAGAGTTCCAAATGTATGAAGCAAATATTGACAGGAGTGAAGGGAGAAATCATTCTACAATAATAGCTGTAGACTTCAATGTCCCACTTTTTGTTATGTTTTATGTTTAGAGACAGGGTTTTGCTCTGTTGTCCAGGCTAGAGTACTATGGTGTGATCATAGCACAGCTTCCAACTCCTGGGCTTAAGCAATCCCCCTGCCTCAAACCCCCCGGGTAACTAGGAATACAGGTGCATACCACCACTTGACTTTTTTTTTTTTTTTCCAGAAACGGAGTCTTGCTATGTTGCCCAGGCCAATCTCAAACTTCTGGCCTCAAATGATCCTCCTGCCTCAGCTTCCCAAAGTGGTGGGATTACAGGCATAAGCCACTATACCTAGCCAACGTCCCACTTTTAATAACAGATAGAAAATCTAGGCAGAAGATTAAGGATATAGAAAGCATGAACAACACCATAAACCAACTAGACCTAAAGACATATATAGAACACTCCACCCAGTAACAGCAGAATATACATTCTTCTCAAGTGTACACAGAAGATTCTCCAAGATAGACCATATGTTAGAATACAAATCAAGTCCCAATAAATTTAAAAAGTTTGAAATCATACAAAGTATCTTTTCTGACCACAATGGAATAAATCTAAAAATCAATAATAGGCGAAAAAATCCACAAATATATGGTCATTAACCAACAATTTTTTTTTTTTTTTTTTTTTTTTTTTTAGACAGGGTCTTATTGTATCTCCCAGGCTGGAAGGCAGTGGCATGATCTTGGCTCACTGCAACCTCCACTTCCTGGGCTCAAGTGATCCATCTACCTCAGTCCCCCAAATAGCTGGGACTACAAGTACACACCACTATGGCCGACTAATTTTTGTATTTTTTTGTAGAGATGAGGTTTCACCATGTTGCCCAGGCTGTCTCAAACTCCTGAGCTCAAGCAATCCACCCACCTTGGCCTCCCAAAATGCTAGGATTACAGGTGTGAGCTACCATGCCTGGCCAACAACACATTCTTTTTTTCTTGATGGAGTCTCACTCTGTCGCCCAGGCTGGAGTGCAATGGCATGGGCTCGGCTCACTGCAACCTCTGCCTCCCAGGTTCAAGCGATTCTCCTGTCTCGGCCTCCCAAGTAGCTGGGATTACAGGTGTCTGCCACCATGCCCGACTAATTTTTGTATTTTTAGTAGAGATAGGGTTTCACCATGTTGGCCAGGCTGCTCTCAAACTCCTGACCTCAGGTGATCCACCCATCTCGGCCTCCCAAAGTGTTGGGATTACAGGCCTGAGCCACCACGCCTGGCCAACAACACATTCTTAAATAAATTATAAGTTTAAGAAATAAGAGAAATTAGAAAACACTTAGAGACAAATGAAAATGAAAACACAACATACCAAAACTTATAGGATGCAATAAAGGCAGTACTCAGAGGGAAATGTATAGCTGTAAATGCCTACATAAAAAAAAAGAAAATATATCTCAAATCAATAAACTAACTTCATACGTTAAGGCTCAAGAAAAAGAAGAGCAAACTAAACCAAAAGCTAACACAAAGAGGGAAACAAAGATCAGAGTAGAAATAAATAAAAATAGATCATGGAAAAACAATAGTGAGATCAATGAAACCAAAAGTTAGTTTATTGAAAAAAATCAATTTTGACAAACCTTTAGCTTGACTGACACACACATACACATGAATATGCAAATAATCAAAATCAGAAATGAAAGCAGGTACATTATTTCTGAACAAACAGTAATAAAAAGCATTATAAAAGAATCCTATGAACAATTATACACCAAAAATTGGATAACCTAGATGAAATGGACAAATACCTAGAAACACATAAATTACATAAATTGACTCAAAAAAGGAATTGAAAGTCTTACCAGACATATAACAAGTAACATCCTTTAATCAAAACTTCTCAACAAAGAAAAGCCTAGAACCAGATGGATTCACTGGTGAAGTCTTCTAAAGATTTAAAGAAAAATTAGTATCAATCTTTCTCAAACACTTCCAAAAAAATTCAAAGAGGAGGGAATACTTCCTAACTTATTCAGATGCCAGCATTACCCTATAACAAAGGTATATTAAGACATAAAAAAGAAAAAAATAAAAATCAATATCGCTTATGAATATCAATACAAACATCTTCAACAAAACACTAGCAAACCAAATACAGCACATTATATATCATGACCAAGTGGAATTTGTAACAGGAATGCAAAAGTTGTTCAACATAAGAAAATCAAATTAATGTAACACATCACATTAGTAGAATGATTATGTTAATCGGTACAGAAAAGGCATTTACAAAAGCCAACACTTTTTCATGATAAAAACTCTCAGAATTAAAAACAGAACTTTATTTAACAATTCTTAGAAAACTAGGAATAGAGGGAAGATTCTTCAGCATAATAAAGGCACTTATGAAAAGCCCACAGCTAACATCATACTCAATGGTAATAGACTGAAAGTTTTTCCCATAATTTCACAAACAAGTCAAAAATGCCTGCTTTCACCAGTGCTATTCAACATTGTATTGGAAGTTTCTATCTTTTTGTTGTTGTTGTTGTTGTTTGCCAGGGTCTCACTCTGTTATACAGGCTGGAGTACAGTTGTACCATCATAGCTCACTGCAGCCTTGACCTCCTGGGCTGAAGCGACCCTCTCATCTCAGCCTCCTGAAGCTGAGACCACAGGCAAGTGCCACCACACCTGGGTTAATTTTTGTTTTTATAGAGACAGGGTTTTGCTATGTTGCTCAGGCTTGTCTCAAACCCCTGGGCTCAAGTGATCCACCTGCCTCTGCCTCCCAAAGTGTTGGGATTACAGGTGCGAGCCACTGCACCAGGCCTGTACTAGGAAGTTCTAGCCAGAGCAATTAGACAAGAAAAAGAAATAAAAGGCATTCAAACTGAAAAGGAAGTAAAACTATATTCACAGACAATATGATCTTATACACAGAAAATCCCAAAGAATGTAAGGCAACTCCTAGAGCAAATAAATGATTCAGCAAAATTTCAGGGTACAAGATCAACACACAAAAACTAGTTATGTTTCTATATACCAGTATTGAACAATCAGAAAAGGAAATTTTAAAAGCAATTCCATGTACACTATCATCTAAAAGCATGAAATATCTGGGAATAAATTTAACCAAGGAGTGAAAGACTTGTACACTGAAAATTACAAAACATTCCTGAAAGTCCTAAATAAAGAAAGGCCTAAATAAATGGAAAGACATCTTGTGTTAACGAATGGAAAGAATTAATATCAGTACTACCCACAGCCATCTACAGATTCAAGGCAACTTCTAACAAAATTTCAAAAGCCTTTTTTGCAGAAATGGAAAATCTGATCTTCAATTCATATGAAATTGCAAGGAGCTTATGTTATGGGCTGAATTGTGTCCTCCTGCCCTCTCAATTCACATGAATCTGTAACCCCCTAGTACCTCAGAATATGACTGTATTTGGAGATAGGACCTTTACAGAAGTGATTGAGGGCCGGGCACAGTGGCTCATGCCTGTAATCCCAGCACCTTGGGAGGCTGAGGTCAGGAGTTCAAGACCAGCCTGACCAACATGGTAAAACCCCATCTCTACTAAAAGTACAAAAATTAGCCAGGTGTGGTGGTGGGCGCCTGTAATCCCAGCTACTTGGGAGGCTGAGGCAGGAGAATTGCTTAAACCCGGGAGGTGGAGGTTGCAGTGAGTCAAGATTGTGCCATTGTGCTCCAGGCTGGGCAACAAGAGCAAAACTTCGTCTCAAAAAAAAAAAAGAAAGTGATTGAGTTAAAATAAGGCTGTTAGGTGTCACTCAATGGACACATTGAGTGATATCAGTGATGCAAGTACACAAAGAAAACACCATTTGAGGATGTAGCAAGAAAGTAGCCATCTGCAAGCCAAGGAGAGAGGCCTCAAGAGAAACCATACCTGCTGACACCTTGATCTTAGACTTCCGGCCTCCAGAACTGTAAGAAAATAAAATTATGTTGTTTAAGCAACCCAGTTTGTGGTATTTTGGTGTTTTTGTTTTTGTTTTTTTTGAGATGGAGTCTCACTCTGTCACCCAGGCTAGAATGCAGTGGCAAGATCTCGGCTCACTGCAACCTCTGCCTCCCAGGTTCAAGTGATCCTCCTGTCTTAGCCTCCCAAGTAGCTGGGACCACAAGCTCACGTCACCACACCTGGCGAGTTTTTGTATTTTTAGTAGAGACGGGGTTTCACCATGCTGGCCAGGCTGGTGTGAAGTTCTGACCTCAGGTGATCCACTTGCCTTGGCCTCTCAAAGTGTTGGGATTACAGGTGTGAGCCACTGCACCAAGCCAGTTTGTGGTATTTTTTTAATGGCAACCCTAGAAAACTAATATAGCTCAAACGGCCAAAAAAAAAAAATCTTGTAAAAGAACTTGAGGGGATTCACAGTTTCCAACTTCAAAACTTATTACAAACCTACAGTAATCAAAACAGTGTGGTACTGGCATAAGGACAGATATATAGACCAATGGAATAGAACTGAGAGTTCAGAAATAAACTTGTACATCTGTGGCCAATTGACTTTTGACAAGGGTGCCAAGTCTGTTCAATGTGGAAAGAACAGTCCCTTCAACAAATCGTGCTGGGTTAACTGGAGTTCCACATGTAAAAGAATGAAGCTGGGCCTCTACCTCATACCATACACTAAAATTTTAAAAATGGATTAAAGACCTAAATATAAAAGCTAAAACTATAAAACTCTTAAAAGAAAACATGAGTAATTCTTCATGACCTTGGACTTGGCAATGAGTTCTTAGATATGACACCAAAAGTACAGGCAACAAAAGAAAAAATAGGCAAACTCAACTTCATCAAAATAAACTTATCTGTTGCGGGAAGTCAGGGACCCCAAATGGAGGGACCGGCTGAAGCCGTGGCAGAAGAACATAAATTGTGAAGATTTAATGGACATTTATCAGTTCCCAAAATACTTTTATAATTTCTTATGCCTGTCTTTACTGCAATCTCTGAACATAAATTGTGAAGATTTCGTGGACATTTATCACTTCCCCAATCAATACTCTTATAATTTCTTACACCTGTCTTTAATCTTTCAATCCCATCATCTTTGTAAGCTGAGGATGTATGTTGCCTCAGGACCCTGTGATGATTGTGTTAACTGTACAAATTGTTTGTAAAACATGTGTGTTTGAACAATATGAAATCTGATTGTAAAACATGGGTGTTTGAACAATATGAAATCAGGGCACCCTGAAAAAGAACAGAATAGCAGCGATTTTCAGGCAACAAGGAAAGATAACCATAAGGTCTGACTGCCTGGGGGGTCAGGCAGAATAGAGCCATATTTTACTTCTTGCAGGGAGCCTATAGACAGATGTGTGAGTAGGAGAAATATTGCTGAATTCTTTTCCCAGCAAGGAATATTAATAATTGATAACCCTGGGAAGGAATGCATTCCCAGGGGTAGGTCTATAGACGGCCACGATGACAGTGTCTGTCTTATGTGATTGAGATAAGGGATGAAATACGCCCTGGTCTCCTGGAGTGCCCTCAGGCTTTCTAGGATTGGAAATTCCAGCCTGGTGAATTCTAGTCAGACCGGTTGTCTGCTCTTGAACTCTGTTTCCTGTTAAAATGTTTATCAAGACAATGCGTGCACAGTGGGACACAGACCCTCATCAGTAATTCTAATTTTGCCTCCATCTTGTGATCTTTATGGCCCTTTGAATCATGTGATCCTTGTGACCTACTCCCTGTTTGTATACCCCTCCCCTTTCAAAATCCCTAATAAAAACTTGCTGGTTTTGCGGCTCAGGTTGACATCACAGAACCTGCCAATATGTGATGTCACCCCCAGAGGCCCAGCTGTAAAACTTCTCTTTGTACTCTTTCTCTTTATTTCTCAGATCAGCTGACACTTAGGGAAAACAGAAAAGAACCTATGTTGAAATACTGGGAGCTGGTTCCCCTGATAGCTATCAAAGAACACTATCAACAGCGTTAAAGGCAACACACAGAGTGAGAGAAAATACTTGCAAGTCACATATTTCATAAGGGATTAACATCCAGAATATATAAAGAACTCCTACAACTCAAGAAAACAAACCACTTGATTCAAAAATGGGCAAAGGATTTGAATGGACATTTCTCCAAAGACGACACACAAATGGTCAATAAGCACATGAAAAGATGCTCAACATCACTAACCATTAGGGAAATGCAAGTCAAAAACACAGCGAAATATCTTCACTTCACACCCATTAGGATAAGTACTATTTTTTTAATGGAAAATAACATGTTGGCAAGGATGTGGAAAAAATCAGAAGTCTTGCACATTGCTGGTGAGAATGTAAAATGGTGCAGCTCCTGTGGAAGATATTATGCATGGTATTTCCTCAAAAACTTAAACAGAATTACTAGATGACCCAGCAATTCCACTTCTGGGAATATAACCCAGAAAATTACAAAACATTATTGAAAGTCCTAAATAAAGAAAGGCCTAAATAAATAGAAAGACATCTTGTGCTAATGAATGGTTAGCAAAGCAATGATTCCAACAGATATTTGTACACTCATGTTTACAGCAGCATTATTCATAATAGCCCAAAGATAGAAACAACCCACATGTCCTTCAACAGATGAATGGATAAACAAAATGTGGTATATACACACAACAGAACATTATTCAGCCACAAAAGGAATATAATTTTGCTATATGCTACAATAAGGATGGACCTTGAAAATATTACGCTTAGTGAAAGCAGCCAGGCATAGGAGGACAAATATTGATGATTTCACTTATATGAGGTACCTAGAAAAGGCAAATTCATAGAGACAGAAAATGGAACTGAAGTTACTTGGGGTTTGGGGAAAGGGGGAATGGGGAGTTATTTAATGAGTGCAGAGTTTTTATTGGGGATGATGAAAAAGTTTTTTGAGTACACACAATGATCATACATAACATGAATGCATTTAACATCACTGAATTGTACACTTATGGGTGGTTAAAATGATAAATATTAAATTTTATCACACTTTAAAAACAACACTTTACCAAATTTCATAGAATTGATGATAGTTAAATGAGAGGAAATGAAGTTCACTTCCATTATCCATAACATAGATATTTTCCACAAGGCATCTGATGAATAATATAATGACAACCATGAGTTTTAAACACTACATTTTTGCCAGCTTTGGAATTTCTCCAAATGAGCCTTTTTGTGCTCCACACATACTTTTGCTACAACCATCTGTACCAGAGCTCAGCAGATTCCCACCTCAGGTTACACCGAATTAGTGATTTCTAGTCTTCTTTAAAAATATTCTTACCTATAGTTGTTCTATGTAGATTACTCATAAAGCCAAATTCTCAGTCTCTTCAAACTTGGCATTGACACTTTGAGCAGTACTGGTAACATCTCTTGACTCATCAAAAGCCAAGGAAAACCACTCAAAATCATTTCCCTTCCTTCTTTCTGTTGGTAAATTAGAGACAGGGTCTCACTCTGTTACCGATGCTGGAGTGCAGTGGAGCCATCATAGCTTACCGCAGCCTTGAACTCCTGGGCTCAAATGATCCTTCCACCTCAGCCTCTCAAGTAGCTGGGACTTTAAAATTAGTGTGCCACCACACATGGCTAATTTTTTTTTTTTTTAACTTTTAGTAGAGACAGATCCTCGTTATGTTGCCCAGGCTGGTCTTGAACTCCTAGCCTCAAGCAATCCTCCTGCCTCGGCCTCCCAAAGTGCTGAGCCACCATGCCTTACATTTCTAAATGTTTAAAAGATGAAGAAGAATATGGCCAGTGAAAATTCAAATTTCAGTGCCCATAACGTTTTATTGGAACACAGCCATATTGAAACACACCCTAGCACCACTGCTCTCCAGCCTGGGTGACAAGGTGAGACCTTGTCTCAAAAAAAAAAAAAAAAAAAAAAAAAGTAAAAGACATTTTTATACACCTGCTGGAGGGTGGTCTTAAAAATAATAAAAACTAACATTAAAAAGCCATTTTTAGTTTCTGGCTCACACACAAACAAGCAGCTGGCTATCATTTGCCAAACTCTGCAGTTGAAGAGAGAAAATAAGCATTATTCATATTTCTCACAAGTTCTAATGGGAAAAAGAGACAACCTCAAGTAAAGAGGAAGGAAGGGAGGAAGAACTCCGAATGCTGGTTCTTTGAAACTATCGGTAAAATAGTCAAACACATGACATGTTTAATTCAGAAAATGAAGACTATTAAATATGAGACATAATAGATTTGGAATCTTCCTAGTTACAAGGGAAAACTATGCATAATTACATACTAATAAAATGGAAAATATTGATGACATAGGCAATACAGGAAACATATATGAATTTACAGATATGGGGGGAAATGTGTGCTTCAGTGAAACACTATGCACTGACTGATAAGAGCAATAACCCGGGTTCTGATTCAGATTCTACAAGGGCTCTGAACCTTCCACTGCCTTCAAGCGATTTTGCAACTTTGTAAGTTACAGATACCTGAGAGCATGCAGAAAATTCCTGTCTAGAGACTTGCAAATAAGATTGTTCCAATAGAGCTTCAGTTGACTTCCCCACTGTAGAAGGAAGAGGCTAGTTTTGTGTCCATTTATAAATTCCTCTCAATGTTACTTTACTCCAAATTAATTTGTCCTTCTTTGACTTCTCCTTTGAACTGATTATAACATCTCAGTTCCCCCAATTGAGTTTTTTAAAAAAAATCTTTGGCCGGGCGCGGTGACTCAGGCCTGTAATCCCAGTACTTTGGGAGACCGAGGCGGGCGGATCATTTGAGGTCAGGAGTTCGAGAGCAGCCTGGCCAACATGGTGAACCCCGTCTCTACTAAAAGTACAAAAATTAGCCAGGCGTGGTGGCGGGCGCCTGTAATCCCAGCTACTCGGGAAGTTGAGGCAGGAAAATCGCTTGAACCTAGGAGGTGGAGGTTGCTGTAAGCCGAGATCACACCACTGCACTCCAGCCTGGGAGACAGGAAGACTCCGTCTCAAAAAATAAAAATAAATTTTAAAAATCTTTAACATGTACTCATTTTATATAAGTATTTAACTTCTGTTAGTTGAAAATAACGAAGGAAGATATGGGAAAAAAGAATTACCTCCAAAAGTTTCTGAGGGCACTTTCAATCTTCAGCAAGCACTGTATCCATGACACAGAAAGCAGAAGACAGCCTAGTTTATGCCAACAGCATTACTCCGACGCATAGAATTTGAGAGGATACCCCCGAGGGTACCCGGCAGAGCACGGCACTGCCCGGAGAGCTCACTCGGAACACCTGTGCTGGGCCCGCCCCAAACTGAAACACAAATCACAGCCCCTGGGGGCGGGGGTGGGGGCGGGGCCTGACCATTTGCGTTTAATGAGATCCTCAGGTAGCTCTAATGAGCACTATGATTGGTCGTGTTTTAGAGGAAAGAACCAAAGCCTAGAGAGGTTACCCAGCACAGCTGGAGCACTGTCACAGCTGCTTCCCGCAGTCCCCGTGCAGCCTCCCGTCCCTGCCCCTCCCTTACTTCGTATCTAAGTTACCTAGGGCAGGTTTCCTAGGTGGGCGAGCTGGGAAGATGAAAATAATGACATCGCCCCCCAGTGGAGGAGTGTGGGAAGTATCACAGCAAGCTGCCCAGTTTTATTATTATTGGTAATTTTTCTCAGTTTGGGCTTTGTGTAAGCTCCCCCTTGTCTCAGCTCCCCGCCCCGCCATACTTACATAAAGCCCAATCCTTTCCTCACCATTAACATCAGACCTAGGGGAGGGGCTTCTTTATGCAGAGCTGTATTTAGAAGGTAAGAGTATTTGTTGAGAATGCTCTACCCCCCCTCCACATACAAATACAAACGTTTGCTGGGAATAAATAATCTCTTCCTTAGAGTAGAATACGAATAAATATAAAAGGAATGATGGATTTTGAATATCAACAATAGATGCTAAAGCTAGTGGGCAAAAAGTTGATGAGGAACAGATATTTTGCCTCAAAATATCTGCTCACAATTACAAAGGGGAAAGTTTACAGTAGAGAAATTTGACAGATGTACCTTAATCCAAGGTGCTCAAAGTAAACATCGGGAGGCTGAAGTGGGAGGATCACCTGAGCCTGAGAGGTCAAGGCTGCAGTGAGCTGTGATTGTGCCACTGCACTCCGGCCTGGGGGACAGAGTGAGACCCTGACTGTAAAAATAAAATAAAATAAATAAATAAATAAATAAATAAATATATATATATATATATATACGTATATATATATATGTATATATATATGTGTATATATATATATATATATATATATATATATATATATATATATATATAGTTAGGAGGAAAAGTTCTAGTGTCTTTAGCACTATACGGTGACAATTTATTATATATTTTCAAATCGCTAGAAGGGTGGATTTTGAATGCTCCCAGAACAAAGAAATGGTGAATGCTTGAGGTGGTGGAGGCACTAATTGCCATGATTTGATCATTGCACATTGTATACATGTATAAAAATATTATACTACACCCCATAAATATGTACAACTGTTCTGTGTCAGTTAAAAATTATAATAAAAGCAAAAAATCTACTCTTTTAGAAAATTTCAAGTATACATTATTAACTATAGTCATCATTCTGTACAACAGATCTCCAGAACTTACTAACATTATATTTAATTCTGATCAAATTACTAGATACACAAAGTTACGAACAAAATGGTATCTGGAGCAAGAAATGCTCAGTAAAACGAACAAAAAGAAAACGAGAAGAAAAGGACAAAATGGTGACAAAAGGCTTATATCAAAAACCATTTCTTGTGCCCTTTCCTTTCTTGCCTTTGAGTGCTAATTCCCAGAGGCCATCACTTTAAACTCATTTTGCTACGTCATCTGGTATTTATAATCATATTTCTAAATAACGTTTATGTTGCCATTTCTTGATTTGTTTTCCTCAGTATCTGTTGACTTCCTGGCATAGCACAGTATAGGGATTTACCTCCCTTATGAGATCTTAACAATTTCCTTGCCTTCATTCTACCAATTTGATTGGATCACAATCTTATGAAATCAAAAATATTTACATTCTTGTAGACACCTAAATATTCTTCCCTCAGCCAAGTCCTGCACTAAAATCGTTTCATTTCTTTCTTCCCCTGGAGTTAATAATTGCTTCAGATATTTTCCCTTCATTTGCTTATATGTTTTTGTACCTACCTATTACCTACCTTTTTTTTTTCAGATGCTCCAACTGATCTATCAAATGTCTAGTGATAATTATCCAAAAACTAAGAAACACTGGATACTGTATCAGCCCTATTATTTTCCTGGAGGCTTCCCTCTCTCCCTTGCCCTCCATCCTGCTCCAAACTGGACTCAGCTCTCTCAGCCTGTGGCACGACTGGCATCCTGGCATGTCTCTGCATCATCGTGTGAATTTCCTGCTGCCGCTTCTGTGTGCATCCTTCATCCTGCTCCAAACTGGACTCAGCTCTCTCAGCCTGTGGCACCACTGGCATCCTGGCATGTCTCTGCATCATCGTGTGAATTTCCTACTGCCGCTTCTGTGTGCATCTCCTGTTCCCTGGCCCCAGATCTTCTTTTTCCTTGGTTTATCCTCTCATTGTGTTGCAGCACATCTTCCAGTGGCTTCCTGAGACAGAGTGAATGGAAGCCAAGCTTTCTGACCCCATATATTTTAAAATGTCATTGTTCTACCTCAACTCCTGATTACTAGTTTGGCTGGATGCAATGCTGTAGTTTAAACAGAACTTCTCCTCACATTGGGAAATATTGCTCTATTATTTTTATTTTCTAGTTCCCAGTGTTGTTGGGAAGAAGTCAGTGTCATGCAAAGTCTTGGCTCTTTACATACAACCTGTCTTTTCTCTCTGGAAGATTTTAGGAATTTCTCTCTATCCTTGGTTTTCTAGAATTTCTCAGTGATGTGCCTTATTGCAGGTCTTTCTTCATTCACTGTGCTAGTCACTTGGTAGATGCTTTTTGTTGGTGTAAGAGCTGAGGCAGGACTGGCTTGTCAGTCATAATATAAAAGAGTCTTGGAACATGTCCAGGGTCCAGGGTCCAGGTTCTAAAACCCCTCGTGGCCTTTGGAACACCAAGTTCTGTGCCAAAGGGTGGAAGGCTGCCCTGCCGCACCACAATCTAAGCCCAGGGCATAAAATCCCTTGTGGCTTTGATGGAATCCAGGGCTCAGGGCATAAAACCCCTCATAGCCTCTGGAGTGTGCACAGACTTGTTGGTTGCTCTCCCAGGCTCAGAAACATGTTCCCCATTATCTCAAGCAGCAGAGCATATTCTATATGCATCAAAGAAAATGCAAAACCATCACAGCTACACTTGATGCACCGGTACCTTTCTACCACCACGTCCCCACACCCTCACCTGTTTACCCCCACATCCACATGTCCTCACCACCTGCTTGCTTGTTTGATCACCAGTAAATAGTGTGGGCTCCCAGAGCTCAGGGCCTTC
This sequence comes from Homo sapiens, assembly GCF_000001405.40. Taxonomy (NCBI): domain Eukaryota; kingdom Metazoa; phylum Chordata; class Mammalia; order Primates; family Hominidae; genus Homo; species Homo sapiens. The sequence continues at coordinate 85,171,927 of NC_000015.10, forward strand.
ACAGCCTCCAATCTAGCATTGGCCCCCTGGACCCACTTTATGCACTCTTGTCTTTTCTCATTCCTTTGACCCCGCTGGACTTTGGAGCCTCCATGGCCTGGTGTTGGGCCTGATCACCCCAACACTTTTGAACTAGAAAATTATGTCCTTCTGGCTGGGTGTGGTGGCTCATGCCTGTTCCCAGCACTTTGGGAGGCCGAGGTGGCAGATCATAAGGTCAGGAGATTGAGACCATCCTGGCTAACATGGTGAAACCCCATCTCTACTAAAAATACAAAAAATTAGCCAGGTGTGGTGGCACGCACCTGTAGCCCCAGCTACTCAGGAGGCTGAGGCAGGAGAATCGCTTGAATCAGAGAGGCAGAGGTTACAGTGAGCCAAAATTGCGCCATTGCACTCCAGGCTGGGTGAAAGAGTGAGACTGCATCTCAAAAAAAAAAAAGAAAAAGAAAGAAAATAAGAAAATTATGTCCTTCTATTGTGGGAAGCTACCAGCAGGTTCATGTGAGCTGGGTAATCTCATTCTTTTCTTCCAAGGACAGAGGTAACAAGGCCCTGGGAACCTTATAAGTGGATGGGGGGAAAGGGGGCCTGAGGTGAATCCAACAAAGCTGCAGCACCCACTGAGCTCATGTCCCAGGGCTAGGCTCTGCCTGAGGACAGGAGACATGGGTAAGACCCACTTCCTGCCCAGTCCCATGGTGGGGCTCAGGACACACATGGTCCAGGAGGCCCCCAGTTCCGGGCTGCATTTACATGCACCTACCTGCATGTAGCATTCTGTTCGCCACAGGACAACTTAGGGGAAGGAGTAGCTCCACAGAGCAGGACAGGAGGGAGGTAAATAATCATGGGGTGGGGAGTGGCCTTGTGGGGAAGGGGCAAAGGCAGGGTTGTGTGTGTATGTGTATTGGGGGAAATGGGGAGAGCATCTGAAGTTTTATCTGCCCCCTTTTTCTGGCCACTGCACCCCTTTTTTCCTGAATAGTTTTTTCTTCCCATTATGGACTGAATGTCTCTGACTCCTCCAAATTCACACTGAAGCCCTAATCCTCCGTGTTGCTGCATTTGGAGATAAGTCCTCTCAGGAAGTCATTAAGGTTAAATGAGGTCCTAAGTGTGGGGCCCTGATTCAGTAGGATTAGTGTCCTTATAAGATGAGACGCCAGAGAGTGCACGCACTCTCTCTCCATGTGCATACAAAGAAGTGGTCATGTGAGCACACAATATGGCAGCCACCTACGGGACAAGAGAAGAGGCCTCAGAATGAAACCTACCTTGCTGGCACTTTGGTCTAGGATTTCCCAGCCTCCAGAACTGTGAGAAATAAATGTTTGTGATTTAAGCCACCCAGTCTGTGGTATTTTGGCATGGCACCCTGAAGTGACTAATACATCTCCCCGCCCTACTTCAACCACATGACACTAGAGGGCTTGGCAGTTCTAGTGTCCCAGCTACCCAGCCAATCCAGACCAGACCAAGCAGAAACTTTCTTCTGGAAGTTTCTGAATAGGAACTAATGGAGAGGAGCCCCATCCTTTCTTGCGGGAAAAGCCAGGAAGATGGAAGCCTCATGCTGCCAACAGCCTGATTCCAACCTTGTGAAGAAAGTTGCTCTGAGAGCACAAAACTGATCTGCGGACTGAGGTGGAGACAGAGACAAGGGAAGGAGCCTGCAAATCTTGACAGTGCTGGTGACTCTGAGTCCAGGTATTCCTGAGGCCCAGCTGTTCCCTGCCCTGCCCGTGGCTAACTTACTGAGCAATGAACTTCCCTTCTTGCCTAAGCCAACTCGAGTGAATTTTCTGTCACTCACACCCAAAGAGCCCTGACTGCAATGGCAGGGCATGGCAGGGCTGGGCTGGCCGGGGCAGAGGACAGTGTGGGTGGAATCAGCTGTGACACGCACACAGGAAGTACAGTTATCACGTGGACTCCATGAGGTCTTCCTCTGGCCCCAGCTGGGAGCAGGGCTGGGTTCATATGCTCAGTAGGTCAGAGTGAGGGATTTGGTCAGAGGTGCCATGCTCAAGGCCATCTTTCTATGGGCCAGGCTCTTCAGCATCAAAGGCTTTGCCATCAGAGATAGTTTTAGTCACATCTTGGGTTCACTTGATAATTGCTGTTCTCCTAGTTTCAGAATCTTCCAATTAGCCTTCCCCACATGGATGATAGGAAGCAATAGGCATCCTTGCCAGAAGCCCAGACCAAGAAAAGGGTTCCTGCCAGCCTGCCCAGGGTTCCAGAGGGCAGGACCAAGGGGTGGTGGGAGGACCCCAGCCTGGGCAGCTGTGACATGTACACCACTCTTGATCCATCTCCAGGAACTTTTCACCCCTCAAGGGTGGGCCCCCAGTGGGGCACACATGAGAAAGACAATGCCCATGTTTCCCACTAGCTCCCCCATCAAAATTGGTCATTGCACCAAGCTCCCTCCTCCATTAAAACTAGACAGACCAAGAGTCACTTTCCTAATGGATGGGTCTTCTTGGTCCATCTCATGCTCCCAACAGAGCTCCCTCCTGGGATGGGAATGTGCTGTTCCGGGGCAACCATTTTGACCCAGCCTCCAGCCAAAGCCAGTTCCCCTGCCAAGCAGGACCTAGAGTTACACTGGAGGGTGACAGGCCTCATCTGGAAATTTCTTGCTGAAAATTATCAGTTTCTCACACAAGTACACCCTGACAGTTTAATTCAAATTAAACCCAGAAGGAGACTGCTGCTTCAGTCTCAACTGCTATGTAGAGCTTCTGTGTGCTGGAAATTGTGCAGTCAGACACTGCAGATTGACTCAGTAGATACAGCAAGTCCACACATAGGGCGCCAACCAAGGATGAGCACGTACACACACCCACGTGCACACACCCACGTGCACATGCACAGCAGAAAATCTAGAAACAAACTGTCTTAATTTCAAGTGTCATGGAAGTTTTGTGTCATTTCCCCAAAAAACACAAATTTTATTTTATGATTTAGTCTTGTTTTTATTTAGAATTACTTAAGGAAAAGGAGAGCTGAGTGTAGTGGCTCATACCTGTAATCCCAGCACTTTGGGAAGCTGAGGCAGGAGGATCACTTGAGCCCGGGAGTTTGAGACCAGGCTGGGCAACACGGTAAAACCCCGTTTTATCTATAAAAAATACAAAAATTAGCCAGATGTGGTAGTGTGTGCCTGTGGTCCCAGCTACCCAGGAAACTGAGGTGGGAGGATCACTTGAGCCTGGGAGGCAGAGGTTTCAGTGAACTGAGATCATGTCACTGCACTCCAGCCTGGGCGACAGAGTGAGATCCCATCTCAAAGAGAAAAAAAAAGAGAAAGAGAAAGGAAAAGAAAGAGGAGAGGAAAGGAGGGGAGGGAGAAGAGGAGAGGAATGGAGAGGAGAGTAGAGGAATGATATCTGCTATGGGAAAACTTAAGTGGATACATCTGAGAACTTTGAGCTTCCAGTTTCCACTGAATGCTCTGGTCTAAAAGAAGCAGCCCCCTTTCCTTGCTAAGAGAAGGGCAGCTGCCCCTTGCCTGGAGACTAGGCAAAGAGCCTCCAACAAGCCCTCACAGCAGGATGAGGCATGTCATAATTGCTGCCCCACATTGACACCAGACTATGGTCATTCCTCATCATGGCCCAAGGTCACAAGCACAACCTGCTCTGGGAAAATGATTTTTTTGCCAAAAATGTTGCAGGGGCTGCCTAGTGTGTACTGGCAGAATCTGGGAGAGGAGGTGGAGAAGTGAACATAAGGGTGTTGGACCAAGGGGAGACTAAAGGCTGTACACATGAGAATACACTGACCTGGGAGCACTCTCAGGATTTAATGGCTTGGCAAGGACACCGGAGGATCTAACACACTGCTGGAGTGGCTCCTTGAAATGTGGACGTAACAGTTGCTGCAGTGAATTAGGTGGAGATTATACAACTGCATTCCCAAAGCATCAAAGAAGCTGGAAAGTACAGGGAGGTAGGAATGTTGGGATGGTTCGTTATATGCCAGCAGATTCGGAATCCACCACTTGACCATGTGCCCTTGGAGGGCTCACAGGAACTCCCTTCTCTAGGCTAACAAGAAAGGCACTACGGAGAAAGGCACCTGAATCTTTCAGAGACTCAGTGGCACTATCCTTTGTAGGCCAAGATCGACAACAGGAGATGCTGCCATGAGACCAGGCTTTTGGTGTCAGTGGGAATGGTGGAAGGTGAGAACAGCAGATGCCAGGTGGTGGCACTTCACCATCAACAACAATGTGGATGTAATTAACTTAATTGGTAGGAAGGCCAGAGTGATAAGCAGGATCCCTTGACCTCCAGGGATCTGTTGTATTGGCTAAAAACTGCTGGCATTCCTGCATACCGCTGCACTCCAGCCTGGGCAACAGAGTGAGACCCTGTCTCAAAAACAAAACAAAACAAAAAAAGTGTTGTTAAAATGGCACCAATTGTATATGAAGTTCCTGAAATTCTGAGTTCCACTAATATTCTTTGTGTGATTTTTAAAAATCCATACTTAAAAGCAACACACCAATAGAGGCAAGCAAACCATGTTTTGCAAAAAACAACTATCAATGGTGATGGCACATGGATCTCCCCTTTCAGAACCCTGAGATTCTCAGTGCCGTTACCCTAATGTCTTTCTGCAGAGGAGGTAACTATCAGAATCACATGGAGAAGATCAGAGCCTGGAAGGAAACGAGATTTTTTAATTTCAACCTTCTTCATTTACACAGAGACAAAACTGAAATTCAGAGAGTTCTGGTTTCTCAAGGCACACCACTAGTCAATAAACACACAGAGCCAGAAGCTAGATCTAGCTCAGTGTTCTTTCAAAGCTTTAAAATTTCCTCTCTGCTAGTAAAGCTTACAGCCTGGCAAGAATATAATATATACACACAAATACAGTTATAATGGTGAAAACTTGGAAACAACTTAAATGTCCAACAATACAGGCATTAATTCTCTATAAAGTGAATATCAAGTAGCCATAGAAAAGACATTAAAGACCCAGAAGTGTTGCTAATTGAGCAAAAATACACCATTTCAGGTCAGATGCAGTGGCTCACACCTGTAATCCCAGCACTTGGAGGCTGAAGCGGGCAGATCACTTGAGTTCAGGAGTTTGAGACCAGCCTGGCCAACATACAAAACCACATAGTAAGGCACATGGATGTGCTTTGGTCAAGGAATAGGCCGAGGTGGATATCCAGGCCTGCATGACTCACGAGTTTGGCGTGCAAGCACACAGCTCCACTTGTAATATAACCTGTTTGTGTAAGTTCATTCCTGGCTTTATGCCACTATTGTCTGTAAAAGGTATAACTGCCCTGTTGATGCTGTCCATAAGAGACATGGCTCTTCGGGGCTTGGCTCAGTTTGGCTTAACATGGCTTGACATGACGAGCGCACTGGCACCCAGAGAGAACCAAAGCTGTCCATCTTGCAGGCAGATGGGAGGGAGCCAGGACACAGCTGGGCTTGCTCATGCCCAGAGAGAGAAGGAGTTAAGCCACTTACCCTGAAGGCAAGGGAGAGCTGGCTGCGTAGCTGTGTGTGGGGGCAGCTGGCTCAAGCAGCTGAGACAGGCGAACAGTGGAAGAGTAAGCTGCTAATAAGAGAGCTAGTGTAAGAAAGCTGTTAATGAGAGCTGCCGCTGAATAAAACTATCTTTCACCTGCCTATGGCCCCCTGATTGTTCTTTCTGCTCACCCACCCACTCCCCTCAGACTTCACCATGGGCTGGACCTGGACCCTGGGATCTGACACACATCTCTACTAAAAATACAAAAATTAGCCAGTATGGTGGCACATGTAATTCCAACTACTAGGATGGCTGAGGCACGATGATCACTTGAACCCAGGAGGCACAGGTTGCAGTGAGCCAAGGTCGCACCACTGCACTCTAGCCTGTGCAACAGAGTGTGACCCTGTCTCAAAAAAAAAAAAAGTGAAAGACCTTTTGTCCAGTATAAACTCTTTCAAAATATATACTCAAGCACAGAAAAGTCTAGAAATGTCTTCAATGGTAATTTCAGGAAAGAATTTTAAAGTGACTTTTTTTTGGTTATCTGCATTTTTTTTTCTTTTATTGTTTTGAGATAGGGTCTTGCTGTGCCACCCAGGCTGGAGTGCAGTGACGTGCAGCCTCGACCTCCCAGGCTTAATCGATCCTCCCACCTCCATCTCCTGAGTAGCTGGGACTATAGGTGCATGCCACCACACCTGGCTAATTTTTGTATTCTTGTATTTTTTGCAAAGATGGGGTTTTGCCATGTTGCCCAAGCTAGTCTCAAGCCATTTGCCCACCTCAGCCTCCCAGAGGGCTGGGATTACAAGTGTGAGCCATGTGTGCCAGGCCTACATTTCCTTTTCTATAATGACCATGACCATGCATTTCATGTACCAACATTTTTCTAACAATAATATTTACAAAGCATGCTATGAAAAATGTTCAGAGAAAAAGAATACAAAATTGTAAAAATCATATATAATTAGTTTTTTGTTTGTTTGTTTTTACGGCAAGAAAGAAAGTAGATTGTCCGGGAAGATGGTTTCTTCCACTTTGCATTTCTCTGGTGAACTCATTAGGAACTCTAAAAAGTTCCAGGAGTAGAATTACAGGGTCAAAGTACCCTGGCTATAACTTCTGATTCAGAGAATCCTAACAACTTACATTGTCACCAGCAAGGTCTTTGACTATATGAGCAACTCTCACCTTAAAGCATTTCTCATCTGACATTAGCTGCTCGGCTTTCTGCGGATACATTGACTCCAGGAGGCTTCTTGAGTTCTGTGTGTTCAGCTGGCCTCCGGTGGCCCCATTATTATTTTCTGCCAGGTAAAGTTCAGTCACCTACACACAGGTCTCATCACTCACGATATGCTGCAGCTAGAATCAAACAAAGGCAAACTGTCAGTGAACACAGAAAACATTTCTCCATTACACAGTCAACGTTCCTTTGACTGATCCAGTCACTCAACTCAAAAGAGGTTTTGGTTTTATTTGGCTGGCAATTTTAGAAAATTCATCGCACAAACAACTGTATCATTTTCTTGGAGAATAATCAAGCTAAGATTTTCTACCATATCAGTGGTTCATTGTAAAACTTTCATATCTATTTAAAATAAAAACCATAGAGAACTCAGGTTAATGTACTCTTTATTTAAAATTCTAAGGATCTTTAAATAATTTTCCATGGGTCATATTTTTATTGCATTTTAAAATCATTTACAATTTGCTTTCACACATATTCTCCCTCATTTGATCCTTACAACTTCCCTGGGAAGCAGGTTGGAGAGAGAGTTGGGACCTGTTAGGAGACAAATTTACACAATACATAAGAAAGCTCACTGAGAGCTGGGGTGAGGAGGGGAGCCTTGGAGAATCATGAAAGCAATATCTATGTCTTTATTCCCAGCCCAACTACAAAGCCTGAAACTCATTAGGTATTTAAGAAATAGCTGCTGAATTATTGCCTAGGGGTGCTGAGCTGAAGAAGCAGGGTTGGGACTAACAGTCAAGCTTCCTGACTCCTAGCCCAATACTTTTCCAAACACAGCACCAATTTTTCTGTATCTGATAGAAAGTACAGTGCTTAAGTTGTACATAATGTTAACTCACTTTCAATACAGGCCAATCATGATTGACTATCAGTAGCTTTTGTGACAATCTTAGGAAACTAATGACTAGAAAGTTGAACCTTTCTAGTTCAACCATTCCCATGTCATATGCTATTTCTATTTTGAAAAAAAAAATCCTTTCAAATGAAACTATCCATCAAAATGACAGAGAAGTGAAAAATAGATAAAAGAAGAAAGCAAAAAGTTAATTTCAATATCAATTTGTCTATTTTACTTTAAAATTATCATAACCACCTAGCCATTCTATTTTTAGGAAGCTACGTTCTTTTTGAAGTGTTAGGAACTATGATAATTATTTATTCTTAAGTTGAAGTCCTAAATGACCAGCATGTGTATTAGTAGATAACCGGACACAGAGCAAGGTCAGAAGGGTGACTGAGTGTGGCAGAAAGGACAGTATCTCCAGCAACTGCAGATGGATAACGACAATGAGTCTAGATAATGGATCTGATACAACCATTCAAATAATGCTTATGAGTACTTGATAACCTAGGGAAAAGCTTCAGATACAGTGTTGTAGAGAAAAAAAGGGCAAGGTGGAAAAAAATATGGAAAACATGACTTCAATCATGCATACAGATGCTTCAATCATGCATACAGATGCTTCAATCATGCATACAGATCCTTCCACTTTATACTTTCTTTTTTTTTTTTTTGAGACAGGGTCTCGCTTTATCACCCAGGCTGGAGGGCAGTGGCATCACAATCTTGGTTCACTGTAGCCTCGACTTCCTGGGCTCAAGCAAGCCTCCCACCTCAGCCTCCTAAGTAGCCAGGACTACAGGCATGTGCCACCACACCTAGCTAATTTTTTGTATTTTTAGTAGAGATGGGGTTTTGCCATGTTGCTCAGTCTGGTCTCAAACTCCTGAGCTCAAGTAATCTGCCTTCCTTGGCCTCCTAAAGTGCTGGGATTACAGGCGTGAGCCACCGCCTCTACTTTATACTTTCTTGTTGAAGTAGACTGTATTACTGATTCCCCACCCACATCCTCTCTTTGGATATCCGGACCCTCCTCGAGTCTCTGGAAAGGGCAGCACTACAAATCCAGGGACAACTAGGGAACTCCCACCCCCACTGCTAGGCAGATCAGATTCTCTATCCTGCTCATTGGAAATGACACAGAGAGTGTTCGATAGATTTTTTGCAGAGGAGCATCTGTATGGAAAGGTCCAGTAACACTGGGACCAGGGGTACTGCCAGGGCAAGCCAAAGCCTCAGCGGCTGGAGGAGCCTGGAGCACGTGCCGAACGTCCATCTGCAGAGCAAAGCACAAGCATGGAGCAGAAGTCCAGAGTGAAGGCATGCAGGAGAGGAAAATCACCTCCCAGCACAGTCCTTCCATGGTGTGGTCACATGCTGAGTTCTGTATTTAGATGTCTGTGAGATTGCCTATTGTATTCTTAATACAGATCCCACTTAAGCCAGTCAGAAAAGGCTAAGATAAATGTAATTTTACTTGGCTGGAGTGCAGTGGCGCAATCATGGCTCACTGTAGCTTCAACTTCCTAGGTTCAGGTGATCCTGCCACTTCAGCCTCCCAAGTAGCTGGGACTACAGCCATGATCCACCACGCCCAGCTAATTTTTTGTATTTTTCTCATAAAAACATTATATTTTTCAGAAGAAATCTTATATATAATATATTGAAAATCACTGAATGCTTTGTCTTTTTTTCTGTGAATGTGTAGGTGTTTGAGTCTCTTGTATTTCTTCTTTTACACAGGATATGGGCTTTTCAAAAACTATTTCATTATCTTCATCATCATCATTCATTTCAGCCACTTCAGATTTTTGTCTCTCCAAAAATGTTGATGTACAAACCGGTGTGGGGCCCTGGGTATCCACAGTCTTCTCAGGAGTGTCAGGAATGCCTAAAACCTTTTTCTTCTTCTTACGTAAAACGTGGCCTTTTGTAGACATCAGATGATTCGTTTTTGAAATACTTTCCATTTTCTGTAAAATCAAAGAAGGAAAATCATAATCAATTCCTTTATAAGCTAATTTCTTCCTGAGTAATCTTTCTTTCTTTTTAAATCGTCCCTCTATTCGCAGCTTTTGTGTAAGTGCCGATTCTGATTATGCTGTTTCACTGACAGATATGATGGCTGCTTAAATGGAATATCCCAGTCTTTAAAGAGTTCTTTTTGAATTTTTCAGGTGGCATAAAATGACACTCTGAGAGTCTTTCACCAAACAGGTAGTTGTTCATCGTTTCAGCAACTATCTTGGCAATATCCTCAGACTCACACTCCACACATGCATAGCCTTTGCTATTTCCAGTCCTTTTCTTTCTGGATAGTCTGAACCTTGTAACAGTGCCACACTGGGAGAAATAGGAAAGGATCTGGGTTTTGTTCAGTAGGTTAGGTAGGTGGCACACATAGACTACTCCAGGAGTAAGCTGTTCTTGTTTTTTTCACTGGGTTATGTGCTTGCGAACCTGTGCCACTTTCTTCTGAAACTTGGCATCTTCCTTCAGGTTCAGTGACTGGATTGGCCCAGCCAGGTTGGAAAAGGCCACCATGCCAAAAGCGGGGACACCAACTCCAGGCAGCGCTCCCGGAAATGCCCATTTTTTTGTATTTTTAATACAAGCAGGGTTTCACCATGTTGCCCAGGCTGGTCTAGAACTCCTGGACTCAAGCGATCTGCCTGCCCTGACTCCCAAAGCACTGGGATTATAGGTGTGAGCCACCGCACCCAGCCTTGACTTTGAAATACATGTTGTACATCCAGTCAGCAGTGAACTCTGGCGGAACACCAAAGATGAGGACAATAAGAGAAGAGATACGTCCAATTAAAGGAGTTAAGAAGAGATGCTTGAACTTATGTTTTAAAAAGTCACTGCAGGTTGGGCACGGTGGCCCACGCCTGTAGTCACAGCATTTTGGGAGGCTGAAGTGGGTGAATGACTTGAGCCTAGAAGTTTGAGACCACCCTGGGCAACACGGCAATTCCCCATCTGTACAAAAAATACAATAAGTTAGCCGGGCACAGTGGCGCCTGTGGTCCCAGCTACTCGCAAGGCTGAGGTGGGGGGTTGAGGCTGCAGTGAGCTGAGAGCCACCACTCCACTACAGCCTGGGAGACATAGTGACACCCTGTCTAAAAAAAAAATTCACTGTTTTGGGGTTTTCTGGATGAAACCTCTGTTTCCTTTAAAAAAAAAAAAGGGTGTAGACAGTATGTATTACTGATTCAAAATCATAACCAGATGCTTAGAGTAAATAATTGTATCTATTGTTTCAAAAACCAACCTCAGGATTATTAAAAGTTAGTTTTATTGGATTTTTTTAAGCTGTGCTGATTCACTCAGGTCTGTCACTTCCAAGCCCATGTTTTAATACTTTGTAACCCTATTTGGAAGGAAAACTGCAGCTAAGATTATGATCCATCCTGAGATGTTATAAATGTTTCTATGAAAAGAACATTTCTAAACCCAAAGTAGTACAATCTTACATCTTTTGCAAATTTCTTTGATGTTTGGTATGTCATTTGCATCTGCATCCAATTTACTGTGTGATATTTGCTTGAGAAAATGTGAACAAAGCCCAGTCTTATACAGATAGGCATTTTAGATCATTGTGGATATTTCTTTTTCTTTTTTTTTTCTTTTTGAGATGGGGTCTTGCTCTGTCTCCCAGGCTGGAATGCAGTGCTATGATCATGGCTCACTGGACCCTCAGTCTCTGGGGACTCAGGTGATCCTGCCAACTCAGCCTCCAGAGTAGTTGGGACTACAGGTGTGTACTACCACACATAGGTAATTTTTTGTATTTTTTGTAGAGACAAGGTTTTGCCATGTTGCCTTGGCTTCTTATTTGATACTCCATCAAAACTTGATTTTTCTTGAACTTTGGATCTTTTACCTTTGCATGATATTATAACATCATGCATTGGTCATTTTGAAAATAATAGTTCACCGAGATCTTCTATATGTTGATACCTTTGATTATATGGTATCAAAATACACTCATCAATATCACCATCAGTCTCATCAGAATACTTTTGGAAAGCAATGGTGGATATAAGTTTTCTAAAATTCTAATTTTTTGTTTAAAAGCTTGAGTTTTATTATTAGCAATTTTATTGTTGAATTTTATTATGGCCTGTCTGTTGTTTTGCTTGAAATAACAGAATCTCCTTTTTTGAGAAAATGTCTCTCAAAACCCAAGCTGAAATAATATTTTTTTGTCAGTCATCCTTTGAAGTAAAAATGATATTACACTAAAGTGGCTAATTCACTTCATGACTTAGTCACACGAAGGTTTTTTCTAAGGCAGTCTGTAGGAATGCTCATGTATACTTCCCATTTCATCACTTGAAATATTAAAAAGACATATTCAAGGATTAAGATGTAGTAAAATTTTCACTGCTTCATCATAGACATTCTTTTTATTTTTGAGACAGGGCCTTGTTCTGTCACCCAGGCTGGAGTGCAGTAGCATGATCACAGCTCACTGTAGCCTCAACTTTCTGGGCTCAATCAATCCTCCTGCCTCAGCCTGCCAAGTAGCTGGGACTACAAGCATGCAACCACCATGTCCGGCTAAGTTTTATATTTTTAGTAGAGACGGGATTTCACCGTGTTGGCCAGGCTGCTCTCAAACTCTTGACCTCAGGTGATCTGCCCACCTTGGCCTTCCAAAGTGCTGGGATTACAGGCATGAGACACCATGCCCGGCCCTCCCTTCCTTTTTACACCTTTAAACCTTTCCCGTGCACAGTAGTCATACCATGACTACTAGTAGTTTGGTGTTACTGCCTTTATTTATGCTAAAGTACCAGCATTTTTACCCACCATTGCATCTGCACCCTTACAGCAAATGTCACCATGTTAGTATTCCTGTCAAAACAGTTTGGACCTGGGGGTCTGAGGGCCAGACTTTGTGAACCATTGAAATAGGTACTTAAACCTACTATATATCATATCTTTTCATCTACAAGATTTTTAAAAACTTGATTTCAGTTAATGTTTTTGTAATTTTTAAAATTTGGTTTTGAGGGGTTTCACTCCAGAGCAACAACATGTATTTTATTTTGCTTATGCTGAAGTTTAGTAGACAGATACTAACCTAATAGAATGAGGTCCTAAATCTAGTTGCAGTTTCTTTAGCCACAAACAAACAAACAAATAAAACACCCAAAACTAAAAATGTAAAAATGGTCCATATGGTGTATTCCCAATGTATGCTGAAGAATTTGGAGAAGAAAATGCAGTACTCAGTAAGTGGTATTCTTCAAGAATAGGATTGGGCCAGGCATGGTGGCTCACACCTGTAATCCCAGCACTTTGGGAGGCCAAGGCAGGCGGTTCACGAGATCAGGAGATCGAGACCACCCTGGCTAATATGGTGAAACCCCGTCTCTACTAAAAATACAAAAAATTAGCCGGGCGTGTTGACAGGCGCCTGTAGTCCCAGCTACTTCGGAGGCTGATGCAGGAGAATGGTGTGAACCCTGGAGGCATAGCTTGCAGTGAACCAAGATCGCACGACTGCATCCAGCCTGGGTGACAGAACAAGACTCCGTTTCAAAAAAAAAAAAAAAAGAATAGGATTAATTCTGAAAAGTTTCTTTTAGCCTGTAAAGAGATTTGGGACACTGTGAGAGAGGAATGAGAATAGTAACATAAATCATTATTGAAGAGATATACTGTTAATGATGTCCTCCTTCAATACAAATTGTTTTTCTTTTCTTTTCTTTTTTTTTTTTTTTTTTTTTTTGAGATGGGGTCTTGCTCTCTCTCCAGGCTGGAGTGCAGTGGCACATCTCAGCTCACTGAAACCTCTGCCTCCTGGGTTCAAGCGATTCCCCTCTCTCAGCCTCCTGAGTAGCTGGGACTACAGGCACGTGCCACCACACCTGGCTAATTGTTTTTATTTTGGTAGAGAAGGGGTTTCACCATGTTGGCCAGGATGTCTCGATCTCCTAACCTCGTGATCCACCCACCTTGGACTCCCAAAGTGCCGGGATTACAGGCGTGAGCCACCGCGCCCGGCCAACTTGTTTTTCTGGTTTTCCACGGTGTTCATGGATTTCCGTGACTTGAACCTAGTTCTTCTGAAGCTAATATATAATAATAATGGCTTTTCTCCAATTTATAATGGAAAATCCTACAACAGAGTAAATGTCTATTAGTGGGTGAAAGCACATAATGCTTAGTTCATTAGCTTTTCAAAAAAAATCACATGTAATTGTGTTCCAAAAATATATGTATAGTAATGGCATTTATTGGTATTACTTGGTTTGTGTGATAGAATAAAATGTTAGAATTTTATGGTGTTTGAATTAGTTATCTATTGCTCTGTAACAAATTTAGCAGCTTAAAACAACAAACATTATCTCACAGTTTCTGTGGGTCAGAATTCTGTGCAGTTTATCTTGGGTTCACTGGCTTGGTCTCTCACCAGGCAGTGAAGGTGTTGATGGCGGCTGTGATCATCCCAAGGCAGGATAGGGAGAGAATCTGTCTCCAAGCTCACATTGGCAGGAATCATCTCAGAGGCTGCTGGACTGGGCCTCCGTTTCTAGATGGCTATTGGTCAGAGGCCTTTTACAATACCTTGTCACGTGGGCCTCTCCATAGGGCACCTCATCACATGGCAACTGGCTTCCATCAGAGGGAGCAATGGAAAGAGCAGGAGAAGGGTGACCAAGGCAGGCATCGTAGTCTCCTTGTAGCCTCACCTCAGAAGCGATGTTACTTTTGCTGTATTCTCTTTGTTAGAAGTGAGTCACTAGGTCCAGGGGTGGAATTTTACAAGGGTGTGAATGGCAGGAGGTGAGGGTGATCAGGGCCATTTAGAGGCTGCCTACCAGTGTTGAAGAAAATTGTTGACTTCTATGAGCTGTAGCAGCAGACAGTGCTATGCAAGGAGAATGGCTGTCTCAGAAGTCCAGCTCCTCACATGGGTTTAAACGTGTTGCCTTTTCCCCCTGATACATTTTGTTTAAATCCATGGTCATCTTGCCATTTAGTGGTGTGGTTTAATTGCATATTTGGGTTAGTCTGTATGTAAACATTTAACATAGGTGTCTCTGGGTTAAACAGGAATCCTATTCATCTTCTTCACCGATATGGTCTGTGGACTCTGATGAGCCAAATCTGACATCAGTTCTGGAATGTCTAGAAGATACTAAGGACAACAGTTTGGTGAGGAAAGAAACCAAGCTATTTTCTCTTTTCCTCATGAACATTATATTTAGAATTTAAATGTTAAGAGATAATATTATATAAAAACATGATTCATAACTATAATCTTAGAGGAATTAAAGTCTGGGTATTTTAAGTCCTCCAAATCTTATTTACTACCTGGTTTCTCTTTATTATTTCCCACATGTATAATCTTAGTTTAGATTAGCAATTCGGGATCTCTTTTTCCCTGAATTCTAACCATTAAGCCAAGCAAGCATTTTGGGTGGAGACCACTAGCCAAGGTGGGAAGTAGAAAGAAGACCAAGGTGGAAGTGAAGGGAGAGATGGGGAGAATGACACCAAAACTAGTGGGAGGGGATTGCCTTTTCTTTCAAGGGTCTGTAAGTCTGCAGTAAAAGTCAAAGGTATTCAAATAGGAAGTTTTGTTTTTGTCTTTAGTATATAAAGAAGCATAACTTTCCATTTTGCAAAAACTTTAGAAACCTTTCTTTCTTGATTATAAAACTTATAAGCAACCATTATTGAGAAGATTAGTAAAATATAAAAAAATAAAAATCTCACATAATTTCTCTACCTAATATAACTACTGTTGACATGATAGCTAGTTTCTATCAGTATGTATTGCTTCTTTGTTATCAAAGTACTTATACCCTTACAGATATGTTTAAATAGTTGAGGTCATATTCTATAAATATCTATAAATAGCTGGGTGCTGTGGCTCACACCTGTAATCCCAGCACTTTGGGAGGCCGAGGCAGGCAGATCACAAGGTCAGGAGTTTGAGACCAGCCTGGCCAATATGGTGAAACCTCATCTCTACTAAAAATACAAAAATTAGCCCGGTGTGGTGGCAGGTGACTGTAGTCCCAGCTACTCGGCAGGCTGAGGCAGGAGAATTGCTTGAACCCAGGAGGCAGAGGTTTCAGTGAGTCGAGATCGCACCACTGAGGTCCAGCCTGGGTGACAGAGCAAGACTCCATCTAAATAAATAATGTATATACACACATACACACACCCTCATATATATATACACATATGTGTGTGTATATAGACACACACACCCACACACACACACACATACACCTACACATGACCGATTGCCTCGCCTCTAGCATTGGGAATCAGTCACCGTGCTGTCCTTGTGGAGTCTTGTGGCCCAACAAGAGGAAGCTCTCCCCTGACATTGCCCCTCCAAAGTGCGCCACTTCCAGTGCGCCCCACTGTCATGCCCGGCCTGTGGACAGCCAGACCCTGCCATCCCTCCCACCCCCGACCAAGCATGGGGGTGCTCTGTAGGTAGCTGTGTGGCCTGACAGTCTCTACCAGTCCTGCTGTCCCTCAGCTGAGAATCAAACCCATTTCTGGATGACAGGGAATGTGTCTTCTGCTGGCTGTGTTCTCTGTGGAGCTCAGGGGAGGGAAAAGACCAAGCCATTTCTAGGGTGCTGTCAGGACCGATGAAAAGGTCACACCCTTTCCAAGAGACACTTTTCCTGGAAAGCCCCTGAAGCTTAGCTGGCTTTTATCCTGTGATAAGCCAGAGGCTCTGCGGGGTGAGGGAGCAGAAACCCTCTTCACCCCACCCAGCGGGGACCTGTATACCTCTGCCAGTCTCTCACTTGGCCTTGCTGCTGTCCTCTGAGACTGCCTATTCCTCCCTCTCTGTGACTCTACACCACCATCACCTCCTCCAGGAAGTCCTCTGGATTGACTCCTAGCTTATTACATCTTTATTGTGCAGACCCTCTCCATTCAAAGCCCCTCTTCAACTGCCCACCCCCCACTACCTCCAAGACAGAGATTCTGGGTTCTTGCAACTGCAGCCCCTCAGAGAGTGTAAGAGGGGCAGAAAAAGGAGATCAAGAGGTGAGGGAAGCAGCGCTGTCAGAGTTTCCAAAGCCCCGGCCAGCAAGGCCTCAGAGGCCTCTGTTGGAGTGGGGGCCTCCCTGGCTATGCGCTCCAGCTGCACAAGGCAGCCTCTGTGAGCCTCTCCCACTCAGCCCTACAGGAAGCAGCAGGGCCCAGCCTCAATGGACCCATTCAGACCCCAGCGCTCCGGAAAGTACCTCTGCTTCCTGCCACCATTCCACTCTGGCCAAACAGGCTCTACTCTCTTCTGATGGGAGGAGGCCGCAGGCAGGTGGTTCAGTGGTTAGGGCCAACCATCTACTTCAGTTCCTGTCTGGCCCAGATCTCTGACGTTGACCATGCCCTAGTGGGTGTATGTATACCTTTAGTGCAAGGGTGGTGTGACAGTTAATACTGAGTGTCAACTTGATTGGGGTGAAGGCTGCAAAGTATTGACCTACTGGAAGTGTCTGTGAGGGCATTGTAAAAGGAGATAAACATTTGAGTCAGTGGGCTGGGGAAGGCAGACCCACCTTTAATACTGGTGGGTACCATCTTTCTAATCAGCTGCTAGCGAATATAAAGCAGGCAGAAAAACATGAAAAGGTAAGATTGGCCTAGCTTCCCAGCCTACATCTTTCTCCCATGCTGGACACTTCCTGCCCTCTAACATCGGACTCCAGGTTCTTCAGTTTTGAGACTCGGATTGGCTCTCCTTGCTCCTCAAACTTGCAGACAGCCTATTGTGGGACCTTGTGATTATGTAAGTTAATACTTCATAAACTCCCCTTTATATATCTATCTATATCTATATCTATATCTATTATCTATATCTATATCTGTCTATATCTCCTATTAGTTCTGTCCCTCTAGGGAACCCTGATTAACACAGGTGGGTAGGTACAGGGAGATGTGCCCCCTTCCCCGTGGGTGCTGGGTAGGTAAATGTTTCGCAAAGGGCTTTCTTGGGGAGAGGGAACCCTGATTTTCAGTATTTGCCTCTTTTCCTGGTATAAATATTCCCACTGTGGGCAGTATCACCTGCCTCTCAAAATTCCTGAAAATTCAACAGTTGGCTCCTGGCAGCTGCTGTGAGCCGTTCCAGCCGGTGACTGTGGTGGCTCCATCCTGCAGGGCCATGTGCCCCCACCCCTTGTGCTATGGCCTCCCTCACTTTAGTGTGCTGTGTTTTGCTCTTAGGAATCAATGTCTTTGCAGATAAGGCACCCCAGTAGCTGGCCGCCACCTGCAGTTCCCTGGTCTGTCTCTTGCTGGCACCAAGCTGTGCTGTGCCTGCTGAGACTGCTGGGCCACCCCCGTGCAGATGGTCTGCGGGGCTTGCTTGATTCCCTTAGCTTCCCAGCCAAGGTGCTGGTGTTGCCAGCAGTGCTAGCAGGAGGAGGGGATAACTAGAGGGGATTTAACTCAACCCGAGGGGCTCTTACGGGATCTTTCCTGGATATCCCTCCAGGTAGGACTGGCTGCCCTGAGGGTATACAAACCTCCAACTCCTCCAATGGCTGAAGCTACTTCCTCGAGCAGATGGCAGCTGGCTCAGGCTGGCTAGGGACCAGTGCATGTGAGGTCGGTGCTGGATCACCCCATCAAGGCCATCAGCCTGTGCTTGTTCTTGGGGTTTGAGGGAAACCCAACAGGGATGAATCACAGTTTTTAACCTGTGTTTGTCTGCCCCCCAGCCCTGGACATCTGCAGGCAAAGTTAAAGTTATATTTGGCTCTTATCACCGCAAAAGGCATAGACCAGAAATTATGGCATCGGGTTGGAAGTCAGGGAGGCTAATTTGGGGAAACTGCCTGGAGGAAGCAGCAACTCAAAAGAGGAGGAGTCCCAGTGTGGGACAGAACAGGCCCTGCATAAGAACCACTAATCCCAGGCAAGCCCAGACATGGCCTTCTGCCTGGGGAGGCCCTCTTTGGCCTGCTCAGCAGACCCTCAGCCCCTTCTAGGCCCTGTCTTCAGCCTCAGACTGAGTGGTGGCCTGGGGAGGTTGGGAGCTGAGCTGTTCTCATCCCTGGTTCCTTGGCCACGGTGGAAACAATGGGGCCGGATCTGACTGCTCAGCGGGGACTGTGAATAGCTCTCTAGCAGGAAGCAACAGCAGGGGTAGTGGAGGAAGTGTGGGCCCACTTTGGTTTGACACTGCATATGGTCCCCATCTGGCCTGAGAGCCTTTACTCCTTGGCAAACTCAGGCCAATAAGCTCCTGCCCCCACCCTCAATGGCAGCTGGAAGAATGGCCTGAGGGAGAAGCAGGGATAGGTGGGCTGCACTGACATCACCCCCAGATCCCAGCCGTGGCCCCAGCCAACCCATGGAGGTGGGGCATGGCACGGCAGGTGCTGCACAGGAGCCCAAGCACAAGGGCACTTAGGAGAAGGAATCTGAGCAGGGATCGATCTGGCCTGGTGGTGATTCTCCAGAAACTCCATTCCTCAGGGCTGTGACCACCAAGCCAGGTGATCAGGCCAGTGATGTTTCCCTTTGGGCCAGGTCGGGGAGCCAGACCTGGGAGGGAGACTCCTCTGGGGCCCAGGGGAGGTGAGTCAGAGCTGGCAGAGGCCTCTGGCTCCAGGAACCTCCAAGGAGGAGACCTGAGTTGCTGGGAATTTCTGGGTCTGACCTCCTGCCAAGTCAAGGTCTGGGCTGGACACAAGGTGAGGCTGTGCTTTCTGGTGCCAGGACCAAGGAAATGCTGGGATCTGGGCAGTGCTCAGAGGCAGCACCGTATGGCAGAACCATGAGGGTGCACCAGCACGGACCCCTTTCTGCAACCCACCCATCCCTCCCTGCAGCACCTCGCCTCCTCCAGGCAAGAATCTGAGCCTTGACCACAGCTCCCTCTCTCACACAGCTTCCTTCTTTGGTTAGAACCACCCGGAGGTGACTGTGGCCATGGCTCTGACTGACATAGACCTGCAGCTGCAGTTCTCCATGTCCCAACCCGAAGCCCTCCTTCTCCTGGCAGCAGGCCCAGCTGACCACCTCCTGCTGCAGCTCTACTCTGGACACCTGCAGGTGAGTGACGTCCCCCTGGGATTGGGGCGAGATTCCTTGTCTAGCTTTGAGTGAACCCCAGCTGGCTGTTGACCTTGTGTAAGTCACTTTTCTTGGGGTCTCAAGTTCTCCACTGTGGGATGGGCAGCAGCAGCTCAGAAATGGTAAATCCTTCATGAACTGGCTCTGCCCACCGGCTCCTTCCAACCATGTTTCCCACCACAAGCCCTCACTGGCCCTTTGTGCTCTGACTGCACTGAACTGCTTTCAGTTCCTGGCCATCTTATGGTCACTTGCTGCCAGGCCTTTGGTCATCACACTCCTCCTGCCAGGTGTGTGACCCACCCATTCCCTGTACCTGCCGAACTCTAGTCTCTCCTTGAAGTTTCAGTGTGGGCATCCCCTCCTCCTCGGCGAGACCCCCTCCTGGGCCCCCATGACCCCTGCGCATCCTGGTGGCACTGCACCAATTTATCTGCAGCACCACTGTCTGTCCATGAGAGTAACAGCACCAGTACTGCCTCAGCTTCATTTTTCCATTTCATCCTTCAAGACACCACAAGCTTTATTATCAAGGAGTCTTGTGGCTCCTACTTGAGTCTTACCCCATACCAGGAAGAGTTTAAGAACCCAGGGTCTTAGTCCAAATTTGGGGCAGGCTGGGTGCAGTGGCTTATGCCTATAATCCCACCACTTTGGGAGACCAAGGTGGAAAGATCACTTGAGCCTAGGAGTTCAAGACTGGCCTGAGCCACACAATGAGACCCCATCTCTATTTTAGAAGGAAAAAAAAAACAAATTAACAAATTTGGGGCAGCCATCTCTTTCCACACCCCAGTGGGAAGAGGACTAGGGCTTGGTCAGTCTGCTGCTGTCATTGCTGCTCATTGCCACAAGGTGTCACTGTTGAACACCTATGTGGTGCAGTCTGGTGCTGATGGCTGTTGAGCTCTGCAGGTAGTGATGCCACATCCCTACAGAGATGCACCATACCAGGACTCCAAGATCATGGTTCTTAGTGTTCTGCCTCTGCAGTTCCCATACTCTGCCATCACCTATTCTAGCATCTGGGAGCACCATACCAGAGCCATTTCTTGTGTCAATGTCATGGTGACAGAACTATGTCCTTCATCTCTCCTTGAGATATTCCTCCACCACAGGTCAGGCAGCTTTTTTTTTTTTTTTTTTCCCAGAACACAGAGCATCTGCCTGGGCTCCCTGTCCCTGAACAGTTAGCCTGGCTTCCTTCAGTGACCTCGAGAAACTTTGCCAAACTTAGGGGGACTGATCAACGGATTCTCAGTTACCCATTATTCCAGGGGTGAAATCTAGATTCCAAGACAATATTTCTGGTGCTTTTCACTCAAGGAAAGAGGAGGAGAATTTAAAAATACAGGTTGGGTTTCTAGAAGAGCATCTTGCTATATGTCAGTTCCTTGTGGGCAAGGACCACATCTGATTCACACCAGGGTCCCCAGAGCCCATCCAGGCCTGGCCCAGAGTTTCCTTTGGTGAGTGTTTGGAGGATGAATAAAGAGATGGCAGGAAGGCAAGAGGAGTGGCACCAGAGGCCCTTGTCCTAGGTTTTCTGCTCTGGGGCCCCCTGTGGGGAACCCACTGTGCTTTTATAAGGGAAATGATGGATTCAAAGTGCTGCCCCCCATCTCCCATTCCCCGTCTCTCCTCAGGTCAGGCTTGTCCTGGGCCAGGAGGAGCTGAGGCTGCAGACCCCAGCAGAAATTCTACTGAGTGGCTCCGTCCCCCACACCACAGTTCTGACTGTCTCAGAGGACTGGCCCACATTGTCAGTCAATGGGTTTCTGAATGCCTCCTCTGTAGTCCTGGGAGCCCCCCTAGAAGTCCCCTATGGGCTCTTTGTTGGGAGCACTGGGAGACTTGGCCTGCCCTACCTGAGGGGAACCAGCCATCCCCTGAGGGGTTGCCTCCATGCAGCCGCTCTCAATGGCCGCAGACTCCTCCAGCCTCTGACCCCCAATAAGCATGAGGGCTGTGCTGAAGAGTTTTCTGCCAATGATGATGTGGCCCTGGGCTTCTCTGGGTCCCACTCTCTGGCTGCCTTGCCTGCCTGGGGCACTCAGGATGAAGGAACCCTGGAGTTTACACTCACCACACAGAGCTGGCAGGCACCCTTGGCCTTCCAGGCAGCAGGCTGGCATGGGGACTTCATCCATGTGGACATATTTGAGGGCCACCTGTGGTCCATGGTTGAGAAGGGCCAGGGTACTGTATTGCTCCTCAACAGTGTGCCTGTGACTGACGCACAGCCCCACAAGGTCAGCATCCACATCAACATTCACCAGCTAGAAATCTCCATGGACCAGTACCCCACACGAACTGAGGAGTCCTCAGCTACCTGGAGCCACGTGACAGTCTCCTTCTTGGGGAGCTGGTTGCAGAGGCCTCTCATCACCTCCAGGAACACCGCTCAGGCCTGACACCAGGGGCTGCCAATGCCTCCCTGCTGGGCTGGCTGCATGGAAGACCTCAGTGTCAATGGCTAGAGGCAGGGGCTGTGGGAAGCCTTGCTGACGCACAACATGGTGGCTGGCTGCAGACTGGAGGAGGTAGACAATGCCTATGGCCATTATGAAGCTTTCTCCACCCTGGCTCCCAAGGCTTGGCTGTCCGTGGAGCTAGCTGAGCCATGCGTGCCTGAGCCAGGGCTACCTCCTGTCTTTGCCAATTTCATCCAGCTGCTATCAGCACAGTGGTGGTGACCGAGGGTGGCACAGCCTGGCTTGAGTGGTGGCATGTGCAGCCCATGCTGGCACTGATGGAGGCTGAACTGCGTAAATCCCAGGTGCTGTTCAGCGTGACCTGAGGGGCACACTACAGCGAGCTCGAGCTGGATGTCCTGGGTGCCCAGGCATGAAAAATGTTCACCCTCCTGGACGTGGTGAACTGCAAGGCCCGCTTCATCCACGATGGCCCTGAGGACACCTCTGACCAGCTGGTGCTGGAGGTGTCAGTGATGGCTTGGTTGCCCATGCCCTCATGCCTGCGGAGGGGCCAAACAGACCTCCTGCCCATCCAGGTCAACCCTGTCAATGACCCACCCCACATCATCTTCCCACATGGCAGCCTTATGGTGATCCTGGAACACACACAGAAGCCTCTGGGGCCTGAGGTTCTCCAGGCCTATGACCTGGACTCTGCCTGTGAGGGCCTCGCCTTCCAGCTCCTTGGCACCCCCTCTGGCCTCCCCATGGAGCACCGAGACCAGCCTGGGGAGCCGGTGACTGAGTTCTCCTGCTGGGAGTTGGAGGCCGGCAGCCTAGTCTATGTCCACTGTGGTGGCCCTACACAGGACTTGACATTCCGGGTCAGCAATGGACTGCAGGCCAGCCCCCCGGCCATGCTGAAGGTGGTGGCTGTCCAGCTGGCCATACAAATCCACCGCAGCACAGGGCTGCATCTGGCCCAGGGCTCTGCCATGCCCATCTTGCCTACCAACCTGTTGGTGGAGACCAGCGCCGTGGGGCAGGATGTGACCGTGCTGTTCCGTGTCACCGGAGGCCTGCCGTTCAGGGAGCTGCAGAAGCAGGGGGCTGGTGGGGTGGAGGATGCTGAGTGGTGGGTCACACAGGCGTTCCACCAGCAGGATGTGGAGCAGGGCCACGTGAGGTACCTGAGCACTGACCCACAGCACTACACCGAGGACACCGTGGAGAACCTGGATCTGCAGGTGCAGGTGAGCTGGGAAATCCTGAGCAATCTGTCCTTCCTAGTGACCATCCAGAGAGCCACTGTGTGGATGCTGCAGCTGGAGCCACTGCACACTCAGAACACCCAGCAGGAGGCCCTCACCACAGCCCACCTGGAGGCCACCCTGGAGGAGGCAGGCCCAAGCCCCCCAACCTTCCACTGTGAGGTGGTTCAGGCTCCCAGGAAAGGCAACTTTCAACTACAGGGCACGATGCTGTCAGACGGTCAGGGCTTCACCCAGGATGACGTACAGGCTGCAGAGGTGACCTATGGGGCCATGGCACGTGCCTCAGTGGCAGTGGAGGACACCTTCTGTTTCCATGTCACAGCTCCACCATATTTCTCCCCACTCTGTACCTTCTCCATCCATATTGGCGGTGACCCAGACATGCCTGTCCTCGTGGTGCCCGAGGGTGGTGGGTGTGTCCTCTCTGCTGACCAGCTCTTCATCAAGAGTCTCAACAGTGCCAGGTACCTCTATGAGGTCATGGAGCAGCCCCGCCATGGGAGGTTGACTTGGCGTGGGACACAGGACAAGATCACTATGGTGACATCCTTCACCAATGGAGACCTGATGCATGGCCAGCTGGTCTAGCAGCATGATGACTCTGAGATCACTAGAAGATGATATCCCATTTCCTGCTGCCATCAGGACCAGAGCAGTGGTGACGTGGCCTGGGAGGAGGTATGGGGTGTCTTCTGAGTGGCCATCCAGCCTGTGAATGACCACGCCCCTATGCAGACCATCAGCTGCGTCTTCCACGTGGCCTGGGGTAGGTGGCGGCTGCTGACTACAGACAACATGGCCTTCAGCAATGCTGATTCGGGCTTTGCTGAGGCCCAGCTGGTGCTGACCCACCAGGACCTCCTCTCTGGCAGTATCATGGCCACGGATGAGCCCATGCAGCCCATCTGCCGCTTCATCCAGGAGGGGCCTCAGGAAGAGGCGAGTCCTGTTCACACACTCAGGCTGACCACGGCTGGATCCCGCTGCAGGTGTCCGATGGGCAGCACCAGGCCATCACGGTGCTGGAGGTGCAGGCCTTGGAGCCTTACCTCTGTGTGGCCAATGGCTCCGGCCTCATGGTTCCTCAAGGAGGCCAGGGTACCATCAACATGGCCGAGCTCCACCTGGGCACCAACCTCAACATCTGCAGTAGGGATGAGGCCCACTACCACGTCACAGACAGCCCTCACTGGGGACAGTTGCTCCAAGCCACTCAGCCAGCCACAGCCTTCTCTCAGCAGGACCTGCTGGTTGGGGCTGTTTTCTATGGCCACAATGGCAGCCTCAGCTCCCGCAACACCCTGGCCTTCTCAATGGATGTGGGACCAGTGCACACAGATGCCACCCTACAAGTGACCATTGCCCTAGAGGGCCCAGTAGCCCCACTGAAGCTGGCCCAGCACAAGGAGATCTACATCTTCCAGGGAGAGGCAGCTGAGATCAGAAGGGACCAGCTGGAGGTGAGGAGCTGGAGGTGGTGAGCGGGGTGTGGACCAGGTAGAGGGCCTTCCTCCCAGCCTCCATGCCGGGAACACATGTGACTTGGGCTGTACCTGTGGTGGTCCCAGCTTGTGTGTGTGCACGTGCCTCAGATGTGCTCCCATATATGTTGTGTTCCCAAGAGTTTCTGGGGAGCTTGCTGTACACCCATCCTCCTGGGAGTGGTGTGTGCCTCTAGAGCTGGTGTCCACTCATGTCCATGGCATGGCTGAGCATGCAGATTCCTGGACGCCACCCAGCCCTACAGAATCTCTGAAGTGGAGCCCGAGAATCTGCATTGCAGTCAGTTCCCTGGGAGGGCATCACGGGTCCTGAACTTTTGGGATTGCTGGCCGTGGAGACAGGCCGCTGCCTCTCAGACCCCTGTGTACCCCGCTCTCTTCTCAGAGCCCAGACCAGGACCAGGAGGGTCTGTCAAGGGCTTCTGCTCACCCAGGAACCCCACAGAGCAGCCACGGGCCTTCCAGAGATCTGACATGCCCTGTGACCTCAGGCCAGTCCTTGCCCGCTCTCAGCCTTACTCTTCCACACTGCTTATTTCGGAGACCCTTCTGGTCTGCATCTGGAGCTTGGGGCCCATGGTGAGCCAGCAGATCTGGCATCAGGAAGGCCTCATGGGAGGAGGCAGTGTTTGGGCCGGGCTCTGAAGAGTACAGGCCATTAGGAGCAGAGAATGGGGAGTGGTATTCCACGCAAAAGGAACATTCCGGCCGAAGGCACAAAACAGGAATGTGAGTTTGGAGGCAGTTTAGCCTCTTGTGGATGGCCCATCAGGTGAGGGAGCCCATGTGGCCTTTGGGGTGTGAGCTCTGTAGGGCCTGTGCTGGGGGTGCCTGTGCCTCTAGGAGGGGTGGGGTGGGGTGGGGCAGGGCACCCTCTGATGGTCCTGGGTGGTAATAGCAGGGGTTGGGGAGGATGCTGCCAGCAAACCAGCCACAGGCCTGAACAGATCCTGAGCAGGGGGCCTGTGTGCGTGTGCACACACGCATGTGTACCTGTACCTGTGTGACTGCGTCAGCATCTGATGAACTCATATGTCTGTGTCACTGAGTCTGGGGACATGTGATTATGCACCTCCCTGAGGGAGTGCATCTCAAGCTGTTGACCGACACCCCGTAACCATGTGTGGGGTGGGTATTAACATGTGACCAGCTGGGGCAACCCAGTGAAACCCCATCTCTACACAAAACATTTAAAAATTAGCCAGGCATGGTGGCACATGACTGTGGTCCCAGCTACTTGGGAGGCTGAGCCCTTGAGCCTAGGACGTTGAGGCTGCAGGGAGCTGTGATCACACCACAGCACTCCAGCCTGGGTGACAGAGTGGGACCCTGTCTCAAAAAAACAAAAAATGTGACCAGCTGCATGTCTGGCTGCTGTGTGTGTGAACCCACATGTGTGTGTGTCACTAAATGAGCAGTGGTATCTGGGGAAATAAGTGGAGCAAGATCAAGGCTGTTCTGGCTGCTTAGGGCCACAGTGGGCCCCTCTGAGACCCCTCTGCATTCCCTTGTGAGTCCTCATGACCTCTGTTAACCAGGTAGCCCAGGAGGCAGTGCCGCCAGCAGACATCGTTTTCTCAGTGAAGAGCCCACCGAGTGCCGGCTACCTGGTGATGGTGCTGCGTGGCATCTTGGCAGATGAGCCACCCAGCCTGGACCCCGTGCAGAGCTTCTCCCAAGAGGCAGTGGACACAGGCAGGATCCTCTACCTGCACTCCCGCCCTGAGGCCCGGAGCCATGCCTTCTCGCTGGATGTGGCCTCGGCCTGGGTGCTCCCCTTGAGGACGTCACGTGGAGCTGGAGGTGCTGCCTGCTGTCATCCCCACTGGGGGCACAAAACTTCAGCAGTAGAGGGGGCACAGTCGCAGCTGCACCCTGGCCCCTCCACTGCTCCGCGTTGCCAGGTCCTACTTCCCCACTCTCCCGGGCCTTGGCCTGCAGGTGCTGGAGCCACCCCGGCATGGGGCCCTGCAGAAGGAGGATGGGCCTCAAGCCAGGACCCTCAGCACCTTCTGCTGGAGAGAGGTACGGCTGTGAGAGAGGCCCAGGGGCTGCAGCCCAGCTCTGGGGGCAGAGTGGAGGGAGCCCCGGGGACTCCCAGTCCAGGGGTTATACAGAGAGGAGACAGGGAGTCACATTTCAGAAAGACCTATGCTTTAGATGCTGTATCTCGGGCTGGGCGCTGTGGCTCATGCCTGTAATTCCAGGACTTTGGGAGGCCGAGGTGGGCAGATCAGGAGGTCAGGAGATCAAGACCATCCTGGCTAACACGGTGAAACCCTGTTTCTACTAAAAATACAAAAAATTAGCCGGGTGTGGTGGCCCGCACCTGTAGTCCCAGCTACTCAGGAGGCTGAGGCAGGAGAATCGCTTGAATCTGGGAGGCAGAGGTTGCAGTGAGCCGAGATCACACCACTGCACTCCAGCCTGGGCAACAGAGCGAGAGACTCTGTCTCAAAATAAAATAAAATATCCCCTTTCTTCCTCACAACTCCTCTGGGAACCAGAACTTATGGTCCCCATTTTCCACCAATGGAAGCTGAGGCCCTAAAAGGGTCAGTCTCTTCCTGCACCCAAAGGCAGAACATGAAGGGTACTGCTGGGGCCTGACTGCCAGCCCTGGGCCTGCCCCTAGGTGGAAGAGCATCTGATCCAGTACCTGCACGATGGGAGCAAGACACTGACGGTTTTGTCCTGATGGCTAATGCCTCTGAGATGGACCGCCAGAGCCATCCTGTGGCCTTCACTGTCACCATCCTGCCTGTCAATGGCCAACCCCCGACCTCATACAAACTCAGGCCTGCAGGTGAGCATATTCCTGGGACCACCCCCCATGTCTGCTTTGAGAAAGAGGCCAATGTCCCCTACTTCCCGGCACAGATCTCCCCCCCTCTGAGCCTCAGTTTCCTCCTCTGCAAAATGAGGACACTACTGTGTGCCTCACGCAGTTGTTGGAAGGAGAGATGTGAGATTGTGCTGAAATAGAACACAGGTGGGAGGTTTTGTTATTGGACATTTGCAAGTACGGTAGGCAGACTTCTGAGCAGCCATGGGTGGCTCTGCTGTTCCTTCTCCTGTGGCTTAGGACCAGAACACCTGAAAGAATCACTTACAAGCCCTTAAGGGCTGGCGTCAGGGTGGGACCGTTAAGCTTCCCACCTTCACCCCAGCAAGTGGAGGCCTCAGCTTGGCTTCCCAAACTCCTGCCCCTTGTCCACAGCAGAGCAGGGCCCCCATTTGGCAAAGGTGGAAGTTGAGGCCCAGAGATGGGATGGAACTTCTCCATGATTGCAAAAGTAGTTCTGGTGGAACAGAAAGGGCATGGCTTTACTAAGCCCACGTGGCAGGGCTTTGAACCCCAGCTTCTGGGGCGCGTCCTCCCCAGTCAGCAGAAGCCACTGAAGGTTCCGCAAGAGGGCTGACTTGGGCTGTCTCTGACATGGGGCACCGGGGGGCTTTGGTGGTCTAGGATGTGCCTGTAGGGGGTGGCCTCATGGTGTGGACGCCACAGAAGAGTGGGACACAGCACCCTGGAACCACAGGCTGGGATGGCTGTGTGGCAGTGCGGCCACCAGGTGGTGCCATCTACCCGTGTTTGTTCCGGGAGCCCAGTGATGGGGCCCTGCCTCCCACAGTATGGCCCCTCTTGCCAAGGCTCGGCCTGAGGGCTCCCTGCGGCCAGGGGAGGAAGCCCAGGAATGCCAGAGGGCTGTTTTCTGGGCATGTGAGTCCCACTGCAGCACTGCCCACAAGTAATTGACCCAGCAAGAGTGGTACCAGGACCTCAGGAACGGGTGCCTGTTCTGCTTGCTAGTGGGAGGCCTGAAAAGGGGCCCCCTTTGCCCAACACGAGGAGGGCCCGTAACTGCTCTGGAAGCACCTGGGCCCATCCCAGCACTGCTTCTGTGCTGCAGGACAGTGCCAACCATCAGGCTTCAGCTCTCTGCGCCTCCCACCCCTCCCTTAGCTGGAAGGAGTGCTCGTTTCTAAAATCACTGTTCCCACCTGTGCCCAGCCCCTGCCAGGCACACATGGAGGGTCTGAAAGGAGACTGCTGCCCCACCAGTGAGCTAGATTAAGGAGCACTGTTGGTCAGCGCTGGGGGTTTCTGGGGGTGAGAACTTGGTGACGGTAAGAGCTAGGGCCTTCCTGGGTTGGGTACACAAGCTGGTCTTGAGGGACACACAGGACTAGGACAGATGAAGAGCAGGGATGCTGGGCCTGGAGGGTGGCCTTCCCTGGGGTGACAGGGAAGGTGAATGCAGGGAGGCCATTTGTGCAGGGGAGCCACAGCAGCGCCAGCCTTGATGCCACCTGAGGGCCTGAGCCTCAGTGGGGTTGGAGCCCTGGTGGCAGCCCAGGGCCGGGGAGGAAGGGGTGGGTAAGTGTGGCAGGGCAGAACCTTCACAGGCCTGTGTCCCCAGATGTGGGAGGGGGCCACCGTGCCCATCCCTACAGAGGCTCTGAGGAGCATGGATGGTTACTCTGGGCCCAAGGACCTGGTGTACACCATTAAGCAGCCCAGCAATGGGTGGGTAGTGCAGTGGGCGGTGCCGGGCACTGAGGTGCGCAGCTTCATGCAGACCCAGCTGGATGGTGGGCTCGTGCTGTTCTCACACAGAGGTGGGTGCTGAGGGCCGAGCCCCAGGTTTCTGCTGCCCACGGGGGCACCCTGAGGTGGGGAGCCAGTTCAGGCCAGCTGGACCCAACACCCTTGTCCCCAGGGGCCCTGGACGGAGGCATCCACTTTGGCCTCTCTGACGGTGAACATACTTCCTCCAGACACTTAGTTTCTGAGTGACGGCCCAGAAGCAAGTGCTTCACTCGCTGGAGGGCAGCCGGACACTGACTGCCCAGGTGGGTGTGCTGATTGTGGGCGTTCCTGGGTGCGGGGGGCTGGGGCAGAGCTGAGGGTGGCATGCCAGGGTCACACTGCCTCTCTGCAGCCACAGGCCTCGGCCTGGATCACAAAGGCTGATGGCCCCTTTTGCCTCTGGCAGAGTCCGTCCAGCCACTCAGCAGCCAGAGCCTCAGAGCCAGCAGGCACCGACCCCCAGCTCCTGCTCTACCATGTGGTGCGGGGCCTCCAGCTAGGCCGGCTCTTCCACGCCCAGCATGACAGCACAGGGGAGGACCTGGTGAACTTCACTCAGGGAGAGGTAAGGGCCCCACTCTGCAGCCACCACTCAGATGCGCCCAGCCTCAGGTGGCCACTGTGCCATGGACATCATGTGGACATGGGCACCAGCTCCAGCATCACCGGCAGCAGACACTCCCAGGCCTGCCATGGTCCAGGACCTGGTGTCCTGCCCTCTAGGAGTCATCAGGCTGGCAGGGCAAGTTCATGTTCCCAGAAGGAGGGAGAAGAATGCAGGAAGTCGGGGATACAGGGCCCCAGAGCAGGGCTGGGGTCTTGGGGTGTGGCTTCCCGAAGGAAGCTAGAGCTGGACCCAAGGGTCTGGAGAGGGAGAACCATGTAGGGGCACTAGTGGCACCCCAGCAGCTGGTGAGGGGCAGTGCTTGGTGGGGGATGGAGTCGGAGGTGAAGCAGCTGCTGGGGCCTGTGGGCAGAGGTGTGAGCCTCGGGCTCAGATCAGGTGCCAGCCAGAGGAAGAGTGGATCCTAGGAGCAGATGAGCTGATGAAAGGCAGCTGAGTCGGCCAAAAGGGGGAAGCCACTGTTCATCTGTCCTGGTGGCTTCAGAGAAGAACTAGAGCTCTCAGCCATGGGTAGTGGCAGACTCTCTGTGGTAACTGTGCCATGGGGGCCAGCCCACTCATGGTTTAAATGAACACCTCTCCCCAAAGGCAGAATGGGAGTTGTTCCATAGCAGAGCAGGGCAGGGCAGGGCAGACTCTTGTGGGCCGCCCTGGGCAGGCAGCACACCTGATGCTCCCATCAGGAGGCTGCGTGAGCATCTGGACCCAGCACATGATCACAGTGAGTTCTCGGCAGGGAGCGGTCTTGTGGGGCGCAGAGCTGACTCTGTCACTCAGGAGCCACGGCACGCAGCACTGCCCCAAGTACCTCCAGAGGGGATCCCTGTCAGCCCTTGAAAATGGCAGAGCCCACCCCAGCCCCCTTTTCAAGCTCCCTTGCTTCGGCAAGGACCTCCTGAGCCTGGCGCTCTCCCTCCTGAGAGGTGCAGATGGTACTCAGCAAGTGCAAAGCCGAGGTTTCTTGGGCCTCTCACATCAGCACCTCCCAGACCTCGGTTCTGTATTTCCCTGGAGCTCCACTCCTGCTATGGTGCCCTTCCCACAATGAGATATTCATCAGGCTGGTGTCTACAGCTGCTGCGTACCCTCAGTTG
This sequence comes from Homo sapiens, assembly GCF_000001405.40. NCBI lineage: Eukaryota > Metazoa > Chordata > Mammalia > Primates > Hominidae > Homo > Homo sapiens. The sequence continues at coordinate 85,203,130 of NC_000015.10, forward strand.
CTGGGAGCCTTTGTCAAGAATGCCCAGGAATGAGGAGGGCACAGGACCCAGACCATCAGCAACCCTCTTGCACTCTATAGTCCCATGTTACTCAGAGCTTCCCCATGCTCCAGCAAGATGAAGGACTAGATTGAATGGGCACCAGGCTGGCAGTGCCACCCAGGAAAGCTGGGAAGAGGCTACATGGGCTACCTGGCCCACTCAGGGAGGAGGGCAGGACTGGGTATTGTCTTGACAGCAACCCTGTCCCACAACACTGAACTGGGCAGGGAAGGGGTCAGGTGTCCTCATTTTTCAGATAAGAAAACTGAAGCTCCCAGAGGGCAGGTAAATGTATTCAGAGCACATGGCGAGTAAGAGGCAAATCTTCTGCCAGCAAGTCCAGGATTTTTTTCACCAGAGGACATTGCTTGGTCCCCAGAGCTCAGGACCCTGTGTTTTGTCTCACTCCCACCCACAGAGCTCCTGTATCCAGGCATCAACTCCAACTCCCACTCCTGGAGGCCGAGGCAGGAGGATCACTTGAGCCCAGGAGTTCGAGACCAGCCTGGGCCACATAGTGAGACCTTGTCTCCACACAAAAATTTTAAAAATAGCTGGGCTTGGTGGTGGCATGTGCCTGTAGTCCTAGCTACTCGAGAGGCTGACGTTGGAGGATCACTTTGAGCCCAGGAGGTGGAGGCTGCAGTGAGCAGTCATCACTGTACTCCAGCCTGGTGACAGAGCGAGACCCTATCACCGCCCCCCGCCCCACCAAAAAAAAACTGAGTAGACAGGTGTCCTCTTGGCATGATAGGTCTTAAGTCCCCTCCCAGATCTGTGACATTTGACAGGTGTCTTTTCCTCTGGACCTCGGTGTCCCCATCTGAGTGAGAAAAGGCAGTGGGGAGGTGGATCTTCCAGTCGAAGCGGTATAGAAGCCCGTGTGAAAAGCCATACTCCAAGGGGCTCCAAGTCCAGCGCACAGTCCCAGAAGGGCCCAGCAAGGCAGCCAGGGCGGCACAGGCACCAGGTCCCAACCTTCTTCCCTGTTTGCCCACTCTCAGACCCCGGAGTTCATCATCTCGGAGCCGCTGGCCAATATGTACTCATGTGGGAACCAGAACACACTGATGGAGGAGTTGGCAGAGCAGGCACAGCAGCACGACGAGATGCTGCACATGCACCACGCGCTGAAGGAGGCGCTCAGCATCATCGGTGACATCAACAGGACCACTGTCACCATGCCCATGCCCCCGCCCGTGGACGACACCTGGTTGCAGGTGCAGAGCATCCCTGACGCACACAGGTACCAGAGACTGCCCCCCACGGCCCCAAAATCCCCCACCCGGGATGCCCAGAGGAGTGCCCTGGGGGCAAGTGGCACACCCCCTCACCGGGGTGGCTCCCACCTGGAGTGACGGGGGGAGCTTGACAAGGAGCACTGGCTGCAGGGGGGTGGGGGGTGGGATGTTCTCGCTGCTGGGGGCGGGGCTTAAGCTCCGGCAACCGCCTTGGGGTGTGGCAGGGAGGAGCTTCGGTGCATGGGTGTGGCCGGCACTGCGCTGGGGCGGGGCCGCCCATCTCTCCCCTCCCTGTGCCTCCCAGGTCGCCCAAGTCCAGCGCCAGGATGCCCAGGCCCTGCCATGTCCCTAGCCCGGCCTGGGTGGCAGGGCCCAGCTCCTGGGCGGCAGGACCCAGCTCCTGGGCTTCCTCCTGCTGGGTCCGCCCTTGGGGAAGTGTGCCCCATACCCTCCAGGCCAGAGGCTTCCCCTGATCCCTTTGGGCCCTACCCCCCTGGTGCTCTTGTGCCCCAGCCGGGGTCCCCAGGTAAGTAGGGGCTGAATGCAGCCAAAGAGGCCGCTGGACAGGCGTGGCCAGGAAGGAAATGGGACTGGATTCCAGAGCACCACATCTGGCCGCCAGAACTGGCCGTCTCCATCCAAGGCACTGGGACCATGGGTGCCGGAGCCACGTGTGGCCGAGGGCTGGCAGAGCCTGCCCCCCAGGGATCACTGAGTCCTGGAGGTGGTCGTTTTTGAGGAGGGGGCTGTGGGGCTCGTCCCACCTGCCGCCTTCTGTCCAGCACTTGCATGACACTTCCCTCTATTTTCACTCTTGGCGGCTGCCCACACTTTGCATTTCTCTTCCTTTCTTCTCGCTGTCCTCCATCCTCCATTCCGTCCAACTCCTAGCCCAGTCCCGGGGGCGCCTACTTCAGGTCTGAGAGTCTGAACTCCGAGATGCTCTGGGTGTGTGGATTTCCTTCAGCTACCCTGATGTCCCCAATTCCAAGTCCTGACTCCTTTGAGCCATCCCAGGGGGTGTCCGGCCACTGGACCACAGGAGCAGAGGCGAGTCTGTGACTGTGTGACCAGCAAGGTGTGTGATGTGTGCGTGAGCGAGCACACGAGTGTAAAGAATGGCACCCAGACCTGAGCTAGGACAGAGGGAGCCTGGGGGCCACAGGCAAGCTCATTTCTTCTCCACACCCCTCCCCGCCCGACCCTGTCTAAACTAATGGGGTAGTGGTAGCCGCAAGGGCAGGGATGGGAGTGGCTGAAGCCTACTTCACTCCCAAAGATTTCTAAGGAAAATGGTTCTACTGCATCCTTTGGCTGGGCCTTGTTGACCCGTGACCCTCTTTCAAGAACATTCACTCTGATTTCCAGTGTGCCGTCTCCACTGGCCACGTTCTCTAAGGAAGAACAATAGCATCTGTTTTTGTTTCCAAATGGCTGGAGAGTGGGGCTGTGGGACCAGCGCCCATATATAAAAATGAAGCAGGGATTGGGGCTTGCCCTGTGATGTGCTGTTGACCAAGTTAGAGGGGTATAGGCAAGCAGCAAAGTATTGGGCAAGATCACTGGACTGGGAGTCCAGAGATGCTGCTTCACCCTGGGGCTTTAGGCAAGTCCCTTTCCCTCCCAGAGCCTCAGCATCCCTTTTAGCAAATTATGACATTCTGCCTTTCTCCTAGAATGGCTGTGGGGATCAAGGGAGACAGTGGCCATAGGGATGCTATGTTAACCGTAGATGCGTCTGTAGGAGCACTTTCCTAACTGCCAACGTGAGTTCAGACTCTTCAGGCTATTTGGCACCCAGGTCTATGGTGAGGTGTGACATATGGGATGTAAAGTTTGATGCCTGCTCTGACTCCAGTCTTGCTAACACACACACGAAACCTTTGGCAAATCATGACCCTGCCTTGGGGAAAAGGGCAGTCTGGGAGAGCTTCTTCAAGGCAGCCTGGCTTCAATGCAGTCCGGGGCATGACGGAGATAGGCATACGTTGTGAGGAACTGGAGGGTAACTGGGTAAAGAGCTGCAGTGTGGGCAGAGGTGTAGTGTGGGTCACAATGAGGATAGCCACTGGCCAAAGCAGGGAACAGAGACAGAATGAAGAGCTCTGTGGGGAGGGTGGGGCACAGGGTGGAGAACCTTCAAAGTCCAAAGAGTATGACTTGTTGGGATTCAATGCTGTAGGCAGTAGGGAGCCATGGAAGGCTCTTAGGTGGAGAAATGACAGCCGGACATTAGTGAGCAAGCCCTGTCTCCCTGAGCAGCATGGGTGGTCCTCTGAGCACGCCAGGCACGAGTGTGCAGGGAGCTGGTGCAAATGCCTCTGTGTGCGGGTGAGCATCTGTGTTGTGACTCTGCCCACGCATGTGCTTCAGTGTGCCGAGTGGCTGCACGCCCCAGATCCATGCGGCACGTGCCGGCCGGTGAGGGTGCTGGGCACCGGGAGGTGGCGGAGAGGGCGACGTATGCGTGTTGTTTGTGGGCATGTGTTAGAGTGTGCATGCGGGCCGTGGGGCCTCACAGCATGTGTGTGCACAATCTGGCGTGTGCGTGTGTCCGCCACCCCCAGGCCTGCCCCACCCATGCATGGGACCTGCCATGTGATTTGATGCTGTCTTTCAGAATCACTATCAGTGGCCCCTGAGGAGCATCAGCCATGGTAGGTACATGCCTCACTGCCTGCTGCATGAATGGTCTGCCTGCCCCGCTGCCCCAGCTCCACACAGGGGGCATACCTGGAGCCTCAGAGCCAGGCTGCCTGCCCCTCCCTTCTAGAGCTGCAGACTTGCTCTTTCCTCTTTCTGTCCTTGTGCTGCTGGCTGTCTCACTTCCCTCCCTGCCAGCCACAGGACTCAGTGCCACTGCTCAAGGTCTCCATGGCTGAGCCTGGGGGCTCTTACAACAGGCTCCATGCCCAAGGTGGCAGATGTGGAACCATCAGAGAGGGCACAGAGCTCATGGTTTATGGTGTAGGGGCTGGGAGCTTGGAGGGGGTTGTGTGGGGGGCTGGACTCAGGCGGCCAGAGGCCTGGGCACATCATCCTGGGCACGCCGTACCTGTCATGCAGTCTGAGCCATGCTGCCAGGGCAGGTATCCAGCTCCCAGCCTGGGAGTGCCGAGAGCCAAATCCACTGCAGATTAGGGGTGATAGTCAGGGTCCCACCTCCTCTATCTGTCAGCAATCCAGTGGTGATCTAGGATAAAAGCCTGAGAGTTCAATACACACGGTTATCCCACAACACACTTCATAGGCCATGCAAGGACACACAGCCCCCTTCCCTCCTTCCCAGGTACCATCACAGCTGCTAGCGTGTGACTGAAGGCTGGGTCCCTGGCCAGCGCTACTGAAGCACTACTGCCAGCCAGCAGACTCACGGACCTTGGCCTGTTGCTCCTAGGGGTCACCTGTGCTATTCAGCCAAGGAGACCACAGTGCTTGCTGGCCCAGCTGAGCTCCGCCTAGCGAGCCCACCTGCCTTTCCTGCCACGGAGTCTCCCTCTTCTGCTTTTCCCAGCAGGAAGGGCCCAGCCTCACCTATGCAACCTGCAGCCCCCCGCCAACCAGTTGAGGCTCCCCTCTTAGACTTATAAGTCTACGGGCAGTGGCATCTAGCTACCTGCCCTCCCTGCCTTCCCCAGGGTCCCTTCAGTGGACCCTGGGCTTTCTGACTGCCCAGAGAGGGGCCTCTGGCGCTCACTCCAGCCCGCCATCCCTTATAGCTTCACCATTTTGGTTCAAGCAGTGTTCCTTCTGTCAGGCTTGGTGGCTGTTGGGTGGGGCTCCCCAAGCAAGAGGTGGCCCTGGGCCAGTGGGTTGGAAGATGGGGTGACCACAGAAGAGGGAAGCCGGGGGGGTTGAGCATTGGTCTGAACTGTGGGTGGACTGCCTGGGTGCCATGAGAGAGGCCAGTGTGTGTGGGGTGGGGAGGGCTGCCACAGCCCCCAGGCACTACCTATGAAGCTCTAGCTTCTCCCTCCATCTTCCTCCCCTTTCCCTTCCAGCCCCTCTTTTCCAGGAACCTTGCCACGCCCACACCTACGCCTTCCCCTTCCCGGCTCTCAGATGATGGTGGTGTTTATCTCCCTGTTCTCGGGAGCCCAAAAAGAATGGCATGCAGGGGTTGCTGCCCATGCCTGGGTGCTCCTGGGGAGTCCTGCATTACAGGAAGCAGCTGCTGGATCTGCTGTGCAGTGGGGTTGTCGTGGGGAGAACCCTCCCTGTCCTCTCCTGGTGCAGCCTCCACGCTATCAGTGAGGCTCACCTCACAAAGATCTTCAGAGAGAGGGAGGGGGGTGGGAATCTGAGCACAGTGCGAGCCTCCCCTGCTCCTGCCTGCCCACCCCACCTGAGGGCTCTACTCACCACCCTGCTCGTCAGCACACCCAAGCTCCTGGGCTACTGGGGCTCCTAGAGTGGGCTCATCAGCAGGGTTCTGGGCAATGGTCAAAATTTGCCATGCCCCTCCTTGTGGTCGCCCACAAGCTGCAACACCTGCCCCGCAGCTCCTGCAGGTTCACCTGGAGGAAAGGGGTGTTAGCTGCCATGCCGGTGCCGGCACGCACGTTCACCCCCACCTCCACCCCCACCCCCACCGAGATGTTGCACACCCTACCTTCATCTCCTCCTGGTCCTGGGCCAGCCTGACGATGTCCTCCTCTCCCAGTGCTGCGTCTCTGACACTGCCCCCTGGCTGATGTACTTTCCTGCAGGAGGACATGGCTCAGATGCTGGGGCCCCTCGGATGGCCTGGCAGCTCCCCCCAGCGGTGCCCTAGCCTCTCGCTCACTATGGTGTCTGTCTGTCCTGAGAGGTGGATGAATTGAAGCTCTAGTTTCTCTACCCGCTCCTTCAGGTCCACCTTCTCCTTCCATAAAGTCGCTGTGGAGCCAAAATAATGGGGTCACATGTCAGGAGTCACCTGCCTTGTCCTGCCCCACCGCCCCCCTTGTTGGCCCATGCCAGGACCTACTCACCTGCAGCTTCTCCATGGCCCCCTGCAGGGCCCGGTGGGTCTCCCCAAACACAGACTCACCCCCACTCTCTGGGGCTGGGGCCGCTACCTCTGGCTTCTTCTGGGACGAGGCCACTGGGTGAGCCAGGGGCTGGCAGCACACCCTTTGTTCCTCCTGGGCACTGGCTCCAGCGGAGTTGAAAAATGCCACCTGAAGACAAGAGGTGAGTATTCTTGTAGGGGTATACACATAACAACTGGGGCAGGCAGATGGAGCATAGCCCCTTCCTTTCGGGCCTCACAGAGTGCACCTGTTGGTCACAGGTGAAATGGTGTCTGACCACTGGCTCCCAGGAGGAGTGAAAGTCCACAGAAGTCAGAAGGCGGGGAAACCAAGAACATAAGGGGGTTTCGGAGGGACCACAGAGGAAGGTGGCAAAGTAGGGGCAGGGAAAGTCAGGCTCACCATGGCCTCCCGGCTCTCCAGGTCCCCTGGGATGTTCGGCATGGGCCGAGGCGCCTCCTGCTCACTGTCCAGATGTCCTCCTCCATCTCCTGTGGGGGGTGGCCAGAGGGGTCCTCAGACAACCCAACAAGGGAGGTACAGTGGGCCCGCCTCTGCCCCCACACTCACTGTGTAACCTTGAGCCAGCCCCTCCCCAGAGGGGAATGAGCTGTTCTTTATTTTGAATTTTAAGAACCAAGATCTTGCTATATTGCCCAGGCACAGTCCCACTACCGATTGGCGCAGGAATTCTGACCTGCTCCCCTTCTGACCTGAGCCAGTTCTCCCATCCTTAGGCAACCCGATGGCCCCCTGTTCCCAGGAGGTCACCATACTGATACTGAACTTAGTGCGGACACCTTGTCGGCATAATGACCGACACAAAATGCTTAAAAGGTAACCTGACTCTTTGTTCAGGGCTCAGTCCTTTAGATGTTAATCTGACTGGGCCGGTGCACCTAATAATATATATCCTCCTCAGTCTCTCTGATTCCTAAATTATGCTGCTGTACGGGGAGAGAGGCAGCAGGGTAGTGGAGTCATACCAAGCAACAAGACAGGGTAGTGGCCAGGCATGGTGGCTCACACCTGTAATCCCAGCAATTTGGGAGGCCAAGGCGGGTGGATCACCTGAGGTCAGGAGTTCGAGACCAGCCTGGCCAACATGATGAAACCCCATCTCTACTAAAAACACAAAAATTAGCTGGGCATGGTGGCAGGTGCCTGTAATCCCAGCTACTCAGGAGGCTGAGGCAGGAGAATTGCTTGAACCCAGGAGATGGAGGTTGCAGTAAGCCAAGATTGTGCCATTGCACTCCAGCCAGGGGGACAAGAGGGAGACTTCACCTCGAAAGACAGACAGACAGGCTAGTACGTTTTCCACAAATTTCAATTTTACTCTCTTCCCCCACCACACACACACACAAAGCATTTGAGGGATGGGAGGAAGAAACTGAGATCACAGGAAAAATTGTAAGAGACATTCAGAAGGACAGGTCTTAGAAATTTACTAGTTTTGGGGGGAGGTCAGAACAGGTGTATATAAAAGAATATTAAGACAGTTCCCAGGTTTAGGCATATGTGACTAGATAGAGTGCTAGGAGATGGATACGTGAAAATTTAAATATCATCATTTTGAACACCCATGTCACTCCAAGTGAGATTCCCTAAATATATGATATACAGACAGATATATGGGTTTGAAACTCTGGAGATGAATACAAATTTAGGAGTCCCTGGAACACAGGTCATGACTTAAGTAATGGGAGTCAAAGATTACTCAGAGAAAGCACAGAATGAGAAGAGAAGAAGTAGGACAAGGAAGAAGAGATCGGAGGAGACCAAGAAAGGGTGATAAGATCAAAACAGGAGAAAAGAATCCGACAGAAGTCTCATTTGATTATCATGTCCCTTCCCAGAGGACAGGGACATGTCTTTTTTGTCTTTTATACCCAATTATCACAGGTCCTGGTGCAGCAGACACACAGTTTTTTTTTTTTTAATTGTGTTGTACTATTCACAGTTTCCTGTATTCACCAGGGGAGAAAAAAGTAAGTATAAAGCAGCACAGACACAGATGTTTTTACACTGTGTACTAAAGGGGTCAGATTATACACAATATTTTATGCCTTACTTTTTTACTTAATATATCTTAGAAGTTTGCACGTGCTCTTATGGAAAGACTGGCTGCATTTTTTGGTCCACAACAGAACAACAGAATATTCTATTATAAAACGGTACACTATAATTTTTATTTAACCAACTCTTTATTGGTGGACATTAAGAATGGAGGAATGTTTCAACAAAGGAACAATCAACAGTATCAAAATACTGCAGAGGGGTCAATTTGGGGACTAAGAGGGGAGCCACTGGATTTGACAACTAGGAGATAAATTTTAGTGCAACGATGAAGGCAGAATCCAGAGTATAATGAGCTCAGTGAAAAAAGGTGAAGACATGTAGCTTATTCTCTCAAGAAACTAGGCTATGATAAACTGGCAGAGGCTCTAAGAGTGGGAGGTGAGTTGTTTTCTCCTTCATGTAAATATATTTACCTTTTAAACACTAGGCCCAATTTTATATCCTATTTCATTTAACTTTATGAACATATTTATGTATGTATGCATGTATGTATGTATCTCATGTGATGTTTTAGACACTGAAAAATAACTCATTTCTATTATAAAACTGATATCTTTAGATGTTCAGAAGCAACTTCCTAAAAGGAGGTAGCAGTAATGGAGCTATGTCTATCATTCTTTCCCATCAACCCCCTTGATGGAGATGTAAACATGTGTCCATCAAGCCTTTAATTTTTACCTCTTATCTTCATGGCTCTCCATACAAAACTTAACTCTTTTTTTTTTCTATTTGTATACGTATATTTATATGTATATCTATATCGAGAGAGAGAGAGAGAGAAAGAGTCTTGCTGTGTTGCCCAGGCTGATCTCAAACTCCTGGGCTCAAGCAATCCTCCCACCTTGGCCTCGCAAAGTGCTGGGATTACAGGCGTGAACCACTGTGCCCAGCCTCAGCCTTAACTCTTAAAATATCTTCAAACCAATATTCTTCTGTTCTAATTTTTAAGAATAGATGTGTTTAAACCAACTAACTTATTTTGACAAAAATTGGAGTTAAGACTCAGACTTCCTCAAATAGTTCTCCTAAAACCATTTACAGAATAATCTATCTTTTCAGTATTAAGTTAAAATACCACCTTTTCCTTATACTAAATTCTCGTTTGCATGACTCTGGTTCTAAACTTCCATTGCCTTTATCTGTCTGGCCCAGGGATAGTCCACAATATTTTATTTACTATCTGGTTGAAAGAGTCTATACTTTATTACTTTTTATTACTTATTCTTCTAAACAAATTTTAGAGTCGTTTTGTCAAGTGTCAAAAATAAATCTGCCAGAATTTGTACTGAAATTTGTGTGTGTGTATATATATAATACACACACACTATATATAAAATATAAAATGTATATATACAATTTATATATATAAATATTTATAAAATATGAAATATATATATATATACACACACACTTTTCTAGTTCTTTTTTTTTTTTTTTGAGACAGGGTCTCACTCTGTCACCTAGGCTGGAGTTCAGAGGCATGATCTCGGCTCACTGCAACCTCTGCCTCCCAGGCTCAAGTGCTCCTCCCACCTCAGCCTCAGAAGTAGTTGGAAATACAAGTGTGTGCCACAGACACCCAGCTAATTGTCATCTACCCGCCTCAGCTTCCCAAACTGTTTGGATTACAGGTATGAGCCACTGTGCCCAGCAGAAATTACATTTACAAATTAATATGAAGACATGGTGATAACTAACATATTTATAACATGAAATCTGCTCATCCAGGAACATAGAATGCAAATCTTTCATTCCACTCAGCAAAATTTTGTCCTGTCCTTGATAAAAGTCCTGCACATCTAAGTTTATTCCTAGGTATTTAATTTTTGCTGAAATACCTGAAAAAATACTTCATCACTATATCTTCTATGTGATTATAGCTAACACTGGGGAAGGCTATTGATTTTTATATAAAAGAACTTTTAACCAGTAATCTTAAAAATTGTTTTTCTCAGTTGGTTCCTTTGGATATTTTTAGGTAAACAATCATGTCAACTGAAAATAATGATAAATTTTCTATAAAGACTATGACATCACAGGAAAATACAGTAAATACTTTTTAAAAGAATATAAAAGGGCCAGGCACAGTGGCTCACGCCTGTAATCCCAGCACTTTGGGAGGCCAAGGTGGGCAGACCATGAGGTCAGGAGATCGAGACCATCCTGGCTAACACGGTGAAACCCCATCTCTACTAAAAAATACAAAAAATTAGCCGGGAATGGTGGCGGGCGCCTGTAGTCCCAGCTACTGGGGAGGCTGAGGCAGGAGAATGGTGGGAACCCAGGAGGTGGAGCTTGCAGTGAGCCGAGATCACGGCACTGCACTCCAGCCTGGGTGACAGAGCAAGACTCTGTCTCAAAAAAAAAAAAAAAAAAAAAAAAAAAAAAAAAAAAAAGAATTTTAAACTTTAGAGAATATGACCTCAACTATTAAGCATATGTGTAAGGGTTATGTATTTTAATAGCAAAGAAAAACTATATACTGGTAGAAAATGACCATCATGTCAACAGTCAATAGTGGTTATATTAGATAGAGAAATTATGGGAGACTTTAATTTTTTTCTTTTATCTTTTCTGTACTTTACCAATTTTCTCAACAATGGTTGCTTATGAGTTTTAAAATTAAAAAAAGGTTTTAAAAATTTTTCCAACATGGAAAGTTATATTTCTTTATATACTAAAACAAAAACAAAACTTTCTATTTGAATACCTATGGCAAAACCCTATCTCTACAAAAAATACAAAAAATTAGCAAGGTGGGGTAGTACACACCTGTAGTCCCAGCTACTCTGGAGGCTGAGGTGGGAGGATCACCTGAGTCCCCAGAGAATGAGGCTCCAGTGAGCCATGATCATAGCACTGCATTCCAGCCTGGGAGACAGAGAAAGACCCCATCTCAAAAAAAAAAAAAAGAAAGAAAGCAAAAAGAAATATCCATAATGATCTGAAATGCCTATCTGTATGAGACTGTCCTTTGTTCACATTTTTTCAAGCAAATATCACACAATAAATTGAATGCAGGTACAAATGACATATCAAACATCAAAGAAATTTGCAAAAGACGTAAGACTGTACTACCTTGGGTTTAGAAATTTTCTTATCATAAAAGCATTTATAACAATATTTTGTGAGCTTTTAAGGAATATTTTAAGTATTTCTGATTTAATTTCTAGTGATAAATACCAATAGATATAACCTACATACACAAAAGCTCCTTGGGCCCTCAATATACTTTTAAGAGTGTAAAGGAATCCTGACCCCAAAACTTTGAGAACTGCTGCCTTCCCCTCCACTTTATTCCTTCCCTAGAATTTCTTCCTTGGAAGAAACATTCCTTTGCCATTCTATGTTAACTTACATAGTTCCATTGAGGCCAGTTTTGCTACCTCTCTCCCATCTTTCCACATCCCTCTCTTGACACAAAACCTGACCAAAGGACTCTACCGGCCCACCCCATTTCCAGTGATTAGCTGTCAGGTGGGCTAAGCCAAGAAAATCTGGGTTTTCCCTGACACTAGACCTCTCTTTCTGGGAGATACGGAATCACAGGGACAAGGCTGGCCCTGTCAGAACTCATCTTGTCTAAATGGGAAGAGGTTAGGCAAGTTTCTAGAATGCCAGACTGCTTTCTAGAAAGTCAAAGATAATTATACTTTCTGCCACGACTGTGAAAATGCCCATTTCATTGCACGCTTTCTAACATTTATACCAATCTGATAAATAAAAGCTGGTACCTAGAAGAAAAAAAGGCTGGGTATGGTGGCTCATGCCTGTAATCCCAGTACTTTGGGAGACCAAGGTGAGTGGATCACCTGAGGTCAGGAGTTCGAGACAAGCCTGGCCAACATGATGAAACCCCATCTCTAGTAAAAACACAAACATTAGCCGGGCATGGTGGCAGGCCCCTGTAATCCCAACTACTCGGGAGGCTGAGGCAAGAGAATCACTTGAACCTGGGAGGTGGAGGTTTTAGTGAGCCAAGATCATGCCATTGCCCTCCAGCCTGGGTGACAAGGTGAGACTTTGTCTCAAAAAAAAAAAAAAAGTTTCCATACAATATAATTTGTTCCATCTCTAAAAACCAATTCAGCAATAACTGAAAGCCACCACTTGGAAGGTTTCAAGGATTTAGCTCTACCTGTTGATGATGTCCAAAGCATTAGTTAAGGTAGAAAAAAAATATACACACACACACACACACACACACACACACACACACACACACACACACTCACCCCTATGTAGTCAGTACCAGGAAACACGAAAGACTAGATGGTACAGTCATCCAACACAAAGCACACAATAACTGAAGGCACTGTAGAGGAGTAACTTATGACACAGATCTACAATATTGAGTGAAAATGCAGATTACAAAAAAAAATCTGATTTTTTAAGGGAGAGGGAACACATACAAGCAAAGGAGAAAAGAGATGAGCAGATGACTGAAAGATACAAAATTCTGATAGTGGTACATTCTGAGTGGTAGAATTATCAGTATTATTTTCTAGTTTTGCCTAAAAATTTTCTAAATTTCTTAAGAACTTTTTGTTATCCATATTATCAAATATCCATCACCCCAGGAAACTTAACCTTGAGCACAAACTCTACAACAAGTTCAATGTTTGTTCAGTTTAATATTTAAGAGACAACCTATTTTGAAAGACATCTAAAATGATGACCAATATTTAAACCTATGCATTAATATTTTTCAATCATATCCTTCACATTTTGTAATTTTGATAAGGTTAAGCTTTAGATCCATCTTGAAAAGATAAGTTTTCTGTTTGTCTTTAAAATATGACCCACAATATGCCTGTTTTTAAACAGTGAATGATGCTCTAAAATCACAATATAAATTCAGGCAGTGCTCCTTACATGGAAAGTTTAAGTACTTCTAACACTGCTCTTTTTCACTTGTTATGAAAACACAGAACAATTATCTAAGCATCTAATTATTCAGGTCCTTTGTTTCTCCTCCAATCTATTAGTTTTATAGTAATTTTAGGGCCTGTGAGGATGAAGCTGTCTGTGACAGCTACCACAAAGGTTACTATAGGTGGACAAATTTCAAACAAGTTTATCACCACTACCATCCCCACCATAAAACTGTCTCAATCAAGGGCAACACAATTCAATATTAGCCAAGACAACCTCTTTACCTGTCACTGCTTAAGGAAAGGATTTTTGGTCTTATTTAGAAATAACTTTCTGTACCTATTTTTCTCCATAAATCCACTGAGACCAATGTGTGGCTCTATCTCAAGCACCAGCAAGCAAAACTGCCTGCTAGAAGGTTCAGTTTTTGTATCTTTCCAAATGTAGAACACAGCTATCTTCAAGGATTTCATAATTTTTTGAAAATTGATGCACAAACTTCTTGAAAGTTCAGAGACACAGCAGCTGTAATTCTTCTGAAGGCTGGTTATGGGACGCATTACCTTCATACTTTGCTGTTTAAGAAATGTGGGGTGGAGAATCAAGTAAACTGATAGAATTTCCATATAAAATTCTAAGTGCTCTGAGAACAAAAGAAACTTAAAATACACACACACACACACACACACACACACACACACACACGGTTTTCCCTACTAATCATTTTACAACTAAACAACCAAGTTGCTAAACCAGAGCCCACAAAAGCAGAGTCAAAGTTCTAACACTTGGTAAAAGAAAAATGCACACATACCCCTGTGAGCTAAAAAAAAATGCTTAAGTATTCAAAGACAGCAATTACAGCTACTGAGAACATCACTGTAAGCAAACTGAGGCAGAGAAAACAAACGTGCTGATGAGGATTTGAACCACCTAAGCTGCAGAAACCCACTGGATGGTTTCCTAGGTTCCGAGTTGGCATTATCTTTCAGAACAATCTTCTAGAAGAGATCACATAACACTGTTACAAAGGATCTGGAGAAAGGGACCCTGGCTTCATCACTGTGGCTCTCCAGTCATGCTTTACATTTGGCAGTGACTATCTCCATTCAACTCAATTCCCTAACCCTAAACTAGCTGACATTTATCAAATACTGCCCTTTACCAGGTCTAAGTAAGTTTAACTCCCCCCACCCCCACCAAAAAAAATTCAAGATACTAAGGGATATACTATTCACAAAAGGGAAACCTGTCTCCTCTTCATATACCTGTTCCTTTCAAGGAAGGGTATAAAAATGGGGATGAGGGAGGATAACCACTAGGAATTTGACCCTATATTATAAATTGGTCAGATAAATGAAAATAATTCCTCTGGACTCAAAGTGATATGGCTCTGAAAACGGGAGAAACATCGGGGTCCTTTGTCTCACGCCAGTTAAACGACATGGACACACAGGAGTGGTTTTAAGGAGCAGAAAGTTTAATAGACAAGAAAGAAGAAAGGCTCCCTGCGGTACAGAAAAAGGGGGTCTGAACAGAGAAAAAGCCCCGTGTGTGGCAGAACAGTACTCGGTTATATTGGGAGGCTGGAGGAGGTGGTGTCTGATTTGCACAGGGCCCAGGGCATTGGTTTGACCAGGCAGGTCATTCATGTAGCCCGAGAAAAACGTGGCCCTCCCACCCTAGCCTTTTAATATGCAAATGTAGGTCACCATGTTGTCCTGCACACATGGGGTCATCTGGAGGTGTCACCTTGAGGTGGTGACTAGAAGAAGAGGGTGGGAATCTCCATGTTGAATGGACACAGTTTCTAAGTGCTGGCATTTGCATATCAAAGCTTGGCAGCCTGTAGTCCCAGCTACTCAGGAGGCTGAGGCAGGAGATTCACTTGAACCTGGGAGGCAGAGGCTGCAGTGAGCTGAGATCACACCACTGCACTCCAGCCTGGGTGACAGAGCAAGATTCCGTCTCCAAAAAAAAGATAAAAAGAAAAGAAAAAGAAATGTTTCTGGAGTTGTTTCTATTAAAAGGGAAAGCCTTACTGAGGCCTCCTTACCCTCTCTATCTGCCTAGTATAATTTCTGAATAACTCCTCTATTAAAAGTACCACTGAGGTGCTTAATATGACATTTCTGATATTTCCCAATGCTCCTCCACAAATTCAATTTGGAAAGGTAATCTGTTCCAGGAGGGCAAACCAAAGAAAAAGTCCTAGGCTCCTGAGTCAAGGCTTGTTTCTTTCCTTTGTACAAGCTGACTACTTTTTAATCATAGTAAAAATGAGAAAAATGCAAGATGAAGTTAACAGCATTGCTTTATTTCCCATGAAAAGCTGTTATAAAGCATTCTCAAAATAAACTGTTATTCAGCCACAAATGACACCATCACTTTTTTATTCATAGGGCACAGTATCGCTGCCAAAGAGCTTTCCTCTATATGCTCTCTTGCAGGGCAAAAAATATTATCTATGTTATACAGAAACACAGTAAAAAAAGTGATTTACTTAAGGTCCTAACTACTAAATAAAAGCTAAACTACTCACTTCCTCCTAGATTCAGAGAGAGCTCCAACATTTTCTAAAATTTGGTATCTTGTTGTTGGGGTAGGCACTTTTTGGCAATAATGAATAGACATTTAATTAGCCAATCAAAAAAACTTATTAGGTACAGTAAGTTCCTCTTCAAAGGTTTAACCTGTTCAACTTCCTTGTTCTTTGTTCCTAAGAACAATTTCCCTGTACCTTCTCACCCCTATTTACCTGCTTAGTTATCTGCTCAGTTACCTGCCTTGTAAACAACTCTTCCCATCAGTCCCAACCTGTAACTCACATTCCCTCTCCCTTCCTTATTAGGGAGAATATTCGCGATAGCAAATCAAGTCTGCTTAGATTGTGTAGTCCGACTCCAGCCCATGTGGGAATGACAGAGAGGTAGGGACTGCGTTAGGGATATAAACTCCTGCTCTATCCTGCTCGGTGTGCTCTTGCATTCGTGACTAATGCAAACAGCACTCTTTTGCAGAAGTAAGTTGTCTTGCTGAGAAAACTTTTTTTCCTGAGTGCTGGTTCTTCCTTGCAGCACTGATCATTTGTTTCTTTTTTCTTTCTTTTTTTTTTTTTTTTTTTGAGACAGAGTTTCGCTCTGTTGCCCAGGGTGGAGCACAGTGGCTTGATCTCAGCTCACTGCAAGCTCCACCTCCCAGGTTCACGCCATTCTCCTGCCTCAGCCTCCTGAGTAGCTGGGACTACAGGCACCCACCACTGCGCCCAGCTAATTTTTTTGTATTTTTTTTTTTTTAGTAGAGACGGCATTTCACCATGTTAGCCAGGATGGTCTCGATCTCCTGACTTCATGATCCGCCCACCTCGGCCTCCCAAAGTGCTGGGATTACAGGGGCGAGCCACTGCGCCCAGCCTGATCATTTGTTTCTAACAATCTGGGGGCTCGTCCGGAATTCCCATTCTCCTCTGAGAAAAGGGTCTCCAGTCACCAATAGTGAGGAGAAGCATCCCACTGCCTCATTGAGGTGGCCTCATGGTGAGGGATCAGGACCCACCCAGTGTGATGAATAAACCCGGACTCTCAGCAGTCTGGAAAGGAACAGACCAACAACTTAAGAGAAAAGGATCCTCACATACCATGGTGACCAGGTAACTATGTGCACAGACCAACGTAAGAAACATCACAAGAGCGACAAAGTATTTTCTTGGTGGTTGGGATATCTTGGAGATTGAAAGTGTGTGTTGAGACTCACAATTGAGTGCAAAGCAAGTGTTCAGTCCAGATCTGCAGTTCTGTGGTCACCTTATACAGCTTAAGGTAGCCTTTCTGTAAAGGAGTCTGGGTCAGGGGTTTCTACTGAAACAGCCATTGCTAAGAGGAAACCAACGTTCCCGTGAGGGAAGCAGCCAGAGAAGGATGAAGCGAAAGGAGAAAAGTGCAAGAAACCTCCAGCAGGGGGGTTGAGCCTCTAGGAAAGGAAAGGAAAGGAAAGGAAAGGTGAGAAATCTCCAGTAGGAGAGGTTGAGCCTTATACAAACCTCTCGTAACTGGGAAGAAATTTCTAGTAGGGGAAATTGAGCCTCACCCCAATCCCTTTTCAAGATGGGAAATACCTCAAGTAATGCAGGGGAGAAAAAGGATAAAGCTAGCAACAATAACATTCCTCCTGATAGTCCCCTAGGGCTTATGCTAAAATATTGGAAAGAGAGTGAAAGGACTAAATACAAGAAAAAGCAGCAAATGATAAAATATTGTTGTTTCATTTGGACTCAGGAATCAATCCTGAAAAGCAAGTCAGAAATTAACTCCTCTGAGAAAGATAAGGTCCCTGTTCCTAGACAGCTCACCAACACATGGAACTTCCTCCACCACCTTCCCCCGTCCAATACCCCTAACCTCCCTCCCCCTCAAGCAGAGGCAGTTGTCCCAGACCCTTCTCCTACCCACATTGTTCCCCCTCTTTATAACCCTGCCTCTTGGGAATTGTCCCAACAGCCTGCTCACTATCACCCTAAGTACTCTTCCCTGAAAGGACTTCAATGTGAGATAGAGCAATGTAAAAGGGATATTCAGAACTTCCCCTTCCCCTCTACCTCGGGAGAATTAGCTCCACCTCTCTTCCCCTGAAGAGAGGTGTCCCTACGAGGAGGAGGTATTCACTTTGTAAATGCTCCTTTAACCAGCTCGGAGGTCCAAAACCTAAAAACAGAGTTCAAGCCACACTATTAGACAACTCCAGTGGAATAGCAGATCGAATTAACCAATTTCTAGGACCACAGTTATATATACTTGGGCTGAGTTAATGTCCATCCTAGGCATCCTTTTCTCAGGGGAAGAAAGAAGCATCATCTGTAGAGCTGCTATGGTAGCCTGGGAACATGAACACCCTCCTGGCCAAAACATTCATGCAGCGGATCAAAAATTCCCCAACCAAGACCCCTGCTGGGACAATAATAACGCAGCCCACTGAAGAGGATACGCAAGAACTTAGGGAAATGATAATAAAAGGGATTCGGGAGTCAGTACTCCGAACCCAAAATCTTACTCGAGCATTCGACATACAACAAAGGAAAGATGAAGGGCCTATCGAACTTTTAGACAGGTTGAAAGAACAAATGAGAAAATATGCTGGCCTAGATTTAGAAGATCCTCTTAGGCAGTGAATGTTAAAGCTTCATTTTGTTACTAACAGCCAGATATCACAAGGAAATTACAAAAGATAGGAAATTGGAAGGACCATCCCACGAACGAGCTTCTTAGAGAAGCTCAGAAAGTGTGTGTAAGGAGGGATGAGGAGAAGCAAAAAGAAAAAATGAAAATTATGTTATCCACCTTCCAACAGGGGGCCCCAAAGGATAAAACACACCAGTATTACTCTCTGTTACCCAGAGACCCACACACTCCCAAACAAAGCCTCCCGAGAGCCAAAACCTATAAAGATCCTAGGCCCCCACTTCCTAAGCCATATAAAGAACATAAGGAGGCAAAGCCGAGAAACCCAAAAATAGAGAGAAGAGACAGAATCAATGCTTCAATTGTGAGAAAGTAGGCCACTTCAAGAGGTATTGTCCCAAATTAAAATCAGAAAGAGAAGTCATCCCACTTACGACCTTTGAGGAGGAATAGGGGGGTTAGGGGCTCTGTCTCTTTTACCTTGAATCCCACCAAGAGCCCTTGATAAATTTAGAAGTGGAACCCAAATCTGAGCTTATGACCTTTTTAGTAGACTCAGGAGCAGCCTGCTCCTCTGTTTGTTACCTTCCCCCACAATATAACCTGGTCCTCAGAGGAGCTTGTAGTCTCAGGGGTAAAAGGAGAGGGAATCAAACTAAAAATTTTAAAAGAAACAGAAATTAGATGTAAAAACTGCTCAGCTAATGTTGAATTTTTGTTAATTTCAGAGGCAGGAACTAATCTATTAGGAAGAAACTTAATGTTAAAATTAGGTATAGGTTTACGTATTGGCTCAGAAGGATTCTACACTTCATTAAACCTGCTCACCACTGCAGAAGAAACATACATTCATCCTGATGTTTGGGCAAGGGAAGGAAATTGGGGAAAACTCCAAATTCCCCCTATACATATAAAGTTAAAAACCCCTGGAGAAATAGTAAGAAGAAAGCAATATCCTATTCCTTTAGAAGGCAGAATAGGCCTGAAACCTGTAATTGAAAGCCTCATCAAGGATGGGCTCCTTGAACCCTGTATGTCCCCTTATAACACCCCAATACTGCCTGTGAAGAAACCAGATAGGTCATGTCGACTAGCATAAGACCTCTGGGCCATCAACCAGACAGTCTAGACTACCCATCCTGTTGTCCCTAATCCTTAAACCATTCTCAGTAAAATTCCATATGAACATCAATGGTTTACAGTAATAGGTTTAAAAGATGCCTTTTGAGCATGCTCCTTGGATGAGGAGAGCTGAGACATTTTTGCTTTCGAATGGGAAGATCCCCATTCTGGATGACAGCAACAGTATCGATAGACAGCTCTACCCCCGGGCTTCACAGATTCCCCTAATCTCTTTGGTCAAATTCTAGAACAAGTGTTAGAACAAGTTTATACCCCAAAATGTATATGTCTGCTCCAGTACGTAGATGACTTATTAATATCCGGTTAGGCTATAGAAAAGGTATCTGCTTTCTCCATCCATATCCTTAACCATTTGTAAGGAGAGGGGCTATGGGTTTCAAAGAGAAAGCTTCAATTCATAGAGCCTGAAGTTAAATACCTAGGACACTTAATAAGTAACGGCAAACGAAGGATAGGGCCTGAGAGGGTTGAAGGGATTGTATCCATACCTTTGCCTAAGACTAAACAAGAACTCAGAAAATTCCTAGGGATAGCCGGATATTGCCGCTTATGGATTGACTCATATGCCCTTGTCATAAAGCCTCTCTACCTAAAAATCACCCAAGAAAAGCCTGACCCTCTCCTCTGGACTTCTGAAGAACTCCACCAGGTTGAGGAGCTAAAACATCTGCTTATAACTGCCTCTGTTTTAGCTTTGCCTTCCCTAGAAAAGCCATTTCACCTTTCTGTTAACATAAATAAGGGGGTAGCTTTAGGGGTCCTTACCCAAGAACACGGAGGTCACCAGCAACCCATGGATCTCCTATCAAAAGTTTTAGATCCAGTAACCTGTGGATGGCCTGAATGTTTCAATCCATTGCAGCTACCGCCTTGTTAACTAAAGAAAGCAGAAAACTAACCTTTGGGGGAAAGTTAGTTGTAAACATGCCCCATCAGGTTAGAGCCATCTTAAATTAAAAGGCAGGAAGGTGGCTTACTGACTTGAGAATTTTAAAGTATGAAGCTATCCTGTTAGAAAGAGATGATTTAACACTAACCACTGATAATTCACTTAACCCAGAGGTTTCCTGACTGGAGATTCAAATCTAAAGAGACCTGAGCATGAGTGTTTAGATTTAATGATCATACAAAAGTTAGGCCTGATTTAAGAGAGACCCCTTACAAAACGGGGCAGGGCTTCTTTATAGATGGCTCTTCCCAAGTAATTGAAGGAAAAAGGCGTAATAGGTACTCAGTAGTAGATGGGGAGGCACTTGAAGAAGTAGAGTCAGGAAGCCTGCCAAATAATTGGTCTGCCCAAACATGTGAATGAATTGTTTGCATTAAATCAAGCCTTAAAGCACTTGCAAAACCAAGAACGGACTATTTATACTGATTCCAAGTATGCCTTTGGGGCAGCTCACACCTTTGGAAAAATTTGGACTGAACGAGATCTTATTAATAGCAAAGGCCAAGACCTGGGCCACAAAGAATTAATCACCCAAGTATTAGATAACCTGCAGCTGCCAGAATAGCTATTGTCCATGTTCCAGGACATCAGAAAGGTCTTTCTTTTCAAAGCGGAAGGAATAACCTAGCAGATCAAATAGCCAAACACACTGCCGTTTCCTCTGAAAATGCCTGTTTTTCACTTAGCCCCTTGCCTTCCTCCCTCGACTGCAGTCCCCATCTTTTCTCCCGCTGAAAAGGAAAAATTAATAAAAATAGGAGCCAAAGAAAATTCAGAAGGGAAATGGGTGTCACCAGACCAAAGAGAAATGTTATCCAAACCCCTCATGAGGGAAATCCTCTTTCATCTGCATCAAGGGACTCATTAGGGACCTCAAGCTAAGTGTGATGCAGTCCTCGGGGTCTACAGATGTATAGGAATTTACATTTTGGCAAGACAAGTTACAGATAGTTGCCTAGTATGTAAGAAGACTAATAAGCAGATCCTCAGAAAACCACCTGTTGGAGGGAGAAATCCAGGATTAAGGCTGTTCCAAAGTGTCCAAATTGATTATGCCGAAATGCCCCCAATTGGTCACTTAAAATATTTATTAGTGATAGATCACCTTACTCATTGGGTAGAAGCTATTCCCTTTTCAAGTGCAACTGCTAGTAATGTACTCAAGGCATTAGTTGAAAATATTATACCCAGGTTTGGATTAATAGAAAATGCTGATTCAGACAACAGGACTCATTTCACTGCACATGTTCTTAAGAAACTAGCCCAAGTACTAGATATAACATGGGACTACCATAACCCCTGGCACCCACCTTCATCAGGAAGAGTAGAAAGAATGAATCAGACTCTGAAAAACCACCTAACCAAATTAGTCCTAGAGACTCGGTTGCCATGGACTAAATGCCTCCCCATGGCCTTGTGAAGATTCCAAACTGCCCCTAGGAAAGATGTCAGCTCACCTCCTTATGAAATGCTGTATGAGTTGCCTTATCTACACTCCACTGCTGACATTCCTCGTTCGAAACAAAAGATCTGTTTCTCAAGAACTATATACTTGGTCTATCCTCCACTTTCTCTTTCCTTAGGACTAAAGGCCTCTTGGCACATACACCACCCCTTGAATTTCCAGTTCACCACCACCAGCCCGGACAGTGATCACATTCTCATCAGAGGTCAGAAAGAAAGGAAGCTCAAGCCCACCTGGGAGGGACATTATCTAGTGTTTCTAATGACTGAGACAGCCGTCCACACCACTGAAAAAGAATGGACTCACCATACCTGAGTCAAAAGAGCACCACCCACTCCAGAATCATGGACAGCTATTTCAGGGCCAATTCCAACCAAGTTAAAGCTAAAACGGGTTTGATCCTCTTATGCTATATTTCTTTTCCCCTTCTATTGCTAGTCCTCTCGTTATTAATGTAACTAGGTCGAGCTCACCCCAAACTATTACCTTTGATGCTTGCCTTGTTATATCCTGTGGAGATCTCCAAAGTCAAAAGCAACTCTCAGCCTCAGAGAAGTATCTCCGTCCCTTTCAGACAAAAGCCTCCCCCATTACGACTCTTGTTCCTTAAGAAATGTAGGGAAACAGGCCTGCCACAGCTGGAATGATATTATGTGGACAACTGAACATCAGGGCTTTGTCAACAGGCAGTTGTAAGTCTCTAAAACCATGTTTGCTTTGTTAAAGGAAACATTCCCCACCCCGACTGCCAGTATAACCAATGTAATCCAGTGCAAATTTCTATTCTTATCCCCACTTCTGCCAACCCTAAACCTACTTTAAGTCGCTTATACGGCATAGGAGCCAAAATAGCAGGGACACATCTTATAGAATCCTTTGAAATGCATTTCATTACTTTCTCACCTCCTCCACCTCCTTCTACACTCTCTCTCAACGAAACCACTGTTCTTCCTTCAACCAAGGATAAAATCAAGGTAAGCCATTGTAGAAGTTAAAAATTTGAAACAAACCATAGCAACTGAGACAGGGTACCAAGATGCAAATGCTTGGTTAGAATGGATTAAATATTCTGTCCGCACTCTAAACAAAAGCAACTGTTACACTTGTGCGCACAGTAGGCCAGAGGCCCAGGTTGTCCCCTTTCCACTCGGATGGTCTTCCAGCCAACTGGGCATGAGCTGTATGGTAGCTCTTCTCCAAGACCCCACAGCCTGGGGTAATGAATCTTGCCAAGCTCTCTCTCTGCTATTCCCTAAAGTCCAACACCCTGCAGGTCAGTCCCTGAGGGCCATCCAGCCTCCATCTATTGACACCAATTTTTACCTCGGGTCTCTCACAACAAGGGGAAAACTTGGCATTTCATGAAGACCTAAAGGGATGCGGTGAACTTAAACTCTCCCAAGAGCTTACCAGTCAGTCTGCCCTTGTTCATCCTCGAGCATACGTATGGTGGTATTGTGGTGGACCCTTACTGGACACTCTGCCAAGTAACTGGAGTGGTACTTGTGCTCTAGTCCAACTGGCCATCCCTTTCACCCTAGCATTCCATTAACATAATAGAAGAGAAAATCAGAAGAGAAGAAGTGACCTTCATGGGTCCTTTGACTCCCACGTTTATAAAGATGCTACTGGAGTTCCACGAGGGGTACCAGATAAATTTAAGGCCCGAAATCAAACAGCTTCAGGATTTGAATCTGTGCTGTTTTGGTGGTCAACTGTAAATAAAAATGTAGATTGGATAAACTACATTTATTACAACCAACAAAGGTTTGTTAACTACACAAGACATGCCATTAAGGGAACAGCCTCCCAATTAGGTCCCATTAACTAAATAGTCTGGGAAAACAGGATAGCCCTAGATACGATGCTAGCAGAAAAAGGTGGTGTCTGTGTCATGATTGGAGTCCAATGATGTACTTTTATTCCTAATAACACAGCCCCTGACGGAACAGTAACAAAAGCTTTGCAGGACCTAACCTCCTTATCCAATGAGTTAGCAAGCAATTCTGGAATAAATGATCCCTTTACAAGTTTAATGGAGAAATGGTCTGGAAAATGGAAAGGCTCAATGTCCTCAATATTTACTTCTCTTGCAATCGTTATAGGTGTGCTTATTCTTGTTGGATGCTGTATCATACCATACATTTGTGGACTACTGCAAAGACTCATAGACACAGAACTTACCAAAACCTCTCTTAGCTCTCCTCCACCCTATTCAGATAAGCTTTTCCTTCTAGAAAACCAAGCAGAACAGCAAAGCAAAGACATGCTAAAAAAGTTTGAAGAGGAAGAATTACAAAAATTAAGAGGGGGGAATTGTTAGGTACAGTAAGTTCCTCTTCAAAGGTTTAACTTGTTCAACTTCCTTGTTCTCTGTTCCTAAGAACAATTTCCCTGTACCTTCTCGACCCTACTTACCAGCTTAGTTACCTGCTTAGTAACCTGCCTTGTAAACAACTCTTCCTACCAGCCCCAATCTGTAACTCACATTCCCCCTCCCTTTCTTATTAGAGAAAATATTCACAATATCCAGCTGAGTCAGCTAAGATTGTGCAGTCCTACCCCAGCCCATGTTGGAATGACACAGAGGTAGGGAGTGCATTAGGGATAAGAACCCCTGCTCCACCCCGTTTGGTGTGCTCTTGCAATCATGACTAATGCAAGCAGCATACTTGCAGAAGCAAATTGTCTTGCTGAGAAAACTTTTTTGCCTGAGTGCTGCTTCTTCCTCACAGCACCAATCATTTGTTTCTAACAATCTCGCTAAAAGCAGCCTAGAAAGCAGCCACTTATGCAGAAAGAGTAATAATTTATGCTCTACAAGTCATATAAAAAATGAAGTTTCATTTGTTTACCGGCTAATTTACTTCCTGGGAGACATTTTTCATTCTAAAACAGTGATTCCCTACCAAGAGTTCATAGATGCCAAGAAGTCCATAAAAGGCGTAATGGAATTGCCAAATTATGTTAAATACTTCAAAAGGACTCAAAGCCATATACTAGTTCCCAATAGGCCTGCACAAGTTATTAGAACAAGCTGCTTTGCATTCTTGTGTGATCAGAACCAGTAACTAGATGGCAATCAGGTCTGTTACTGAAGATGGAAAAACTATACTTAAGTTTGTATAACAATCTTTCATAACATGGCTTCACAGAAAAGAAGTATAAAAAGGATTCCTTGGTTGAAAAAGAGTGCTCTTTTCCCTTCATTATTTAAGATTAGGGCAAATTTATAAAACAGGAAAAAAATAGCACAAATCCCTTGGCAAACAGAGTAAAACATCTACTCTGTTTTGCTTTTTTTCACTTCTTACACTCTCTTTCATAGGAAGTCAATTTACAGACTTCCATCAAGCCCTTAGAGACCTTTTTGTACTATCCATGACAAGCTCTTGATGTTATCTCTGCACTTTTGACAAATTCTTAGCAGTTAACTTACAAGGCAGTTAAGATTTTTGTTCAAGCACAATATAGCTAGAATAGGCTCATACATTCAATAAAACAAATATTTACCAAGCATTTATTGAGTGGAAGATAAAAAGCACAAAGCATAATTATAAAATATTTTCCCCTGCCACCATAAAAAAATTAAACAGGCTTACAGAATACAGTGTAAGAAAACATGACCAAAGCAAAAATAGTAAGGACTAAAGAAGGGAGGAAGGGGAAATATCAACATGGACTGAATATGACCCAAAAGAGCCTTGATGGATGGTCAGACATGTAAAGGCAAATTGGTTAGGGTTAAGGGGTGGAGGTCAGGGCACGTTCTATAGGGAAACGGCAGCTGATACAGAAGCCTGAAAGGAAAAGCGGGCAGAGCACCTGGACAGGACTCTTCAGGAACGAGCACGCACGTGCGTGAAAAACAACTTAGTGAGGTACCGTTCACCCAAACATTAGAGAAACCGCGTAAAAATGCTTCTTGGTAAGCATGAAGAAGGCAGGGCTCGCCCTGTAGAAGAACTCAATAAACATTTGAACTGTCTAAAGAGTAAAAGTTAATGAATAGGCCAAACTCACTCCTTTCTTTGTTTTAAG